>NC_000023.11:87311026-87614057 GCF_000001405.40 Homo sapiens
ACAGTGATATTGATGTTCTTAACCCTATGTCTGCCTAGGCTAATGTGTGTGTTTGTGTTGTAGTTTTTAACAAAAAAAAGAGTTTAAGAAGTAAAAAATAATTAAAAATTTTTTTAAATGGAAAAAACCTTATAGAATAAGGATATAAAAATATTTTGTACAGCTATACAACATGCTTGTGTTTTAAGCTAAATGTTACGAAATAGTAAACAAGCCTTTAAAATCATTTATTATTGAAGAAAAAATATTTCTTCATAAATTTAATGTATCCTATGGGTACAGTGTTTATAAAGTCTACAGTAATATACAATAATTTCCTAGGCTTTCACATTCACTCACCACTCACTCATTAACTCACCCAGAGCAACTTCCAGTCCCACAAGCTTCATGCATGGTAAGTGCCTATAAAAGTATACCATGTTTTATCTTTATCTTTTATACTGTATTGTTAGGAAACTTTTATATGTTTATATATGTTTATATACAAAAATACTAACCATTGTGATACAAAAGCCTACAGTATTCATTGCAGTTACATGCTGTATAGGTTTGTAGCCTAGGAGCAATAGGCTATACTGTATATATGTGTACATGTATATATATAGTCATACAGTAGGCAATATACCATTTAGATTTTTGAAGTACACTCTGTGAAGTTTGCACAACAATGATACTAATGATGCATTTCTTAGAACATATCCCCATATTAAGTGATACATGACCATATATGCACCCATAAAACCACCACTACCATCAAGTGAATGAACATCCCATCACCGGCAAAAGGCCCCTAGTGTCACTTTATAAGCCCTTACTCACATCCCTCTCTGTACCACTCACCCCAGAAAAGCACTGAACTCCTTTCTGTCATCGTAGGTTAGATTGTATTTTGTAAAAATTGTTATATACATGAAATCATACAATATTACTCCATTTTGTCTGGCTTCTTTCATTTGGCATAATTATTCTCAGATTAATCTATGTTGTTGGATGTTTGTATTTAATTAATTTTTATCCCTGAAGAGTATTCCACTGTGTGAATATACAACAATATGTTTATCCATTTCCCTGCCAATGAATATGTAGATCAGTTCTAGTTTTTGACTACTGTAAATAAAGTTGTCATGAATATTCATGGACAAGTCTTTGTGCAGTCATATGTTATAATTTCTCTTGGGCAAACACCTAGGAGCAGGATGACTGGGTCACAGGATACATGAATGCTTCAATTTGTGAGAAACTCCCAAACTGCTTTCCTAAGCAAGGTACCATTTTATGTTCCCACCATCAGCGTATGAATGTTCAACTTGCTTCATAAAAGGATCACTTTTAAACTCAGGCTTCCACTGGGAAATTATTTTTACAACCAAAAGGAAGAGAGTGAAACTATTATTTATTTAGGATATGAATCCTGTTGTTGATTGGTGGAGTATTCTAGAAGTGTTAATTGAATCCTCTTGTTGATGCTCTCATTCAAGTGTACTATAAACTTATTTATTTTTAATTTTGGTTCTATCAATTATTGAGAAAGGGTTATTGATATCTTTAACTATGAATGCTGGTTTGTTTATTTTTCTATGCAGTTTGTATTAGTTTTCTATTGTTGCCATGACATTACCACATACTTTAAAGGCTTTAGAAACAACACAAATGTGTTATCTCATTGTTCTGTATATCAGTATTCCAGTTTGGCTTGGCAAGTTTTTCTGCTCTAGGTTTCACAATGTGGAAAGAAAGTTGTCAGTCAAACAGGGCTCTTATTGGGAGGTTTTGGAAAAATAAAAAATCACCTCAAGGCCATTTAGTTTGGTGGCTAAATTTAATTCCTTGTGTTTGTATAGCTAGGTTCCCAAATTTCTTGCTGGCTGTCTGCCAGGAACTATTTTTTTTTTTGTACCCGGAGACTACTGACACTCATTCTTATGTTTTCCAGGCTACCTCCACCCTGGCCATGGTAGGTCAAGTCTCTCTCATAATTTGAACTTCTCCAAATTCCTTTTCTGTCTCATCTCTCAGATTGTTTTTTCAGCTTTTTACACTGTTTCTAAGAGCTCGCATAATTTCATTGAGCTCACCTGGATAATCTAATAATCTCCCCTTTTCAGCAGATTAATAATCTTAGTTTCATTTACAACATTACCTATATTAGTGTTTAGTTGATTCACCAAATGTTTACTAGGCCATCTGAAGCTTTCCCACAGCTCATGGGTACCCTCTTTGATTGATTTTTTGGTCTACGTTTAATCTTGAATAGTTTCATTGCTGTGTCTTCAAGTTCACCAATCTTTGTTTGGCAATGTTAAATCTAATGTAATTTTCAACTTACAAATTCTGATTTTTATCTGTAAAAGTTAGATTTTGG
Source organism: Homo sapiens (assembly GCF_000001405.40). NCBI lineage: Eukaryota > Metazoa > Chordata > Mammalia > Primates > Hominidae > Homo > Homo sapiens. The sequence goes on from NC_000023.11 coordinate 87,313,389, forward strand.
TCTTTTTCTATTTTCCAGGTGTTCATGTATTCTGCCATTCTTGAGTTGCTATAAAGAAATACCTGAGGCTGGATAATTTATAAAGAAAAGATGTTTAATTGTCTCACAGTTCTGCAGGCTGTACAGGGAGCATACTGCTGACATATGCTTCTGGTGAGGGCTTCAGGAAACTTACAATCATGGCAGAAGGTGAAGGGGAGCCAATATATCACATGGCAAGATGAGGAACAAGAGAGTGAGGGGCAGGGAAGGTCCCAGCCTTTTAAACAACCAGATTTCGTGTGAACTCAGTGATAACTCACTTGTCACCAAGGGGATGGCGCTAAACCAATCATAGGAGATCCATCCCCATAATCTAATCACCTAGCACCAGGTCCCACATCCAACAGTGGGAATCACATTTTAACATGAGATTGGAAGAGGACAAACATCCAAACTGTATCAGTCCATTCAACATGTTCAGTCTTTCCTCTACCCCAGTGAGTGCTAATTATTTTTGTATTTCTATAATTTTACTTGAGGCTTGCTCTATGCTGCAGTTAGGTTACTTGGAAAAGTTTGATACTTTTGTGTGTTGCTTAGGAAACATTAGTTCTAGAACAATGCTAACCTGGGGCTAACTATTCCTTACTACTAAAACGAGACCTTCTTCTGGACTTTGGTCGCACAAATCCATGGCTGGGCTCAGCTTTAAAAAGCCTTGAGATTCCTCTTATGGAACAAAGTTCCATCAAAGCCAATTTAAAAGCCTATGTAAAAAATTATTCTTCCTGCACTGTACACAAATAATTAGGCCAAGTATAATAAAGCAAACCAGTCCTACCATGACTAGTCTTTAGTAAAAATGGGAAACTGGGGAGAGAAAAAATTATGTTTCAAAAGTACAGGAGACTTGTTGTTAGATTCTAGTCTTCCCTAATGTTTCATTCAATTTTTATTATTTTCTACAGCTTGGACCAAATTCTAATTTTTCTTGGCTACAAGTCTTCAAAATAATGTTTTCAATTTCTTTTCTTCTTTTTTTCCCCCATTTTTCCTAATTTGGAATCACTGAAAACTAAGCTGTGCTTTCTTAAAATCTTGCGAACTGAAGCCAGACAAGTTAAACTTCAGCAGAAAATAACAGCAACCTATTTACATACATAAGCCACTTTCATACCTGCCTACTAATGTATGGGCTTCAGAGTAATATGCCCTATATCAATTTTTCCAAGATTTTTTGTTTGTTTGTTGTTGTTGTTTCTCCCTTCCTCCTCCCTATTTTACCTTCACAGAACATGAGACTTCACAACCTGCTAATGATGAGCTTTTGGGACCTCCCCATCTAGGCATAAACCATCGTAGCCATGAGAGATCAGATGAAACCTGAGACCAGAGACTCATTTTCTTGTAAAATTCTTTCTCCACAAAATTTTTTAAAAGAAAAGGGGGGAAATGTGAAAGGAAAATAGTTCGGGATCCCAAAATCATTAAGGAAAACTCAAGCTGGAAACTGCTTAGGGCAAACCTACCTATCATTCTATTCAAAGCCACCCCTCTGCTCTCTGAGATAGTTGCATATTGGATTGCCTCCTTTGGAAAGGCTAACCAGAAACTCAAAAGAATGTAACTGTTTGTGTACCACCTATCTGTGACCTGGAAGCTCCCTCCCTACTTGGAGTCTTTTTGCCTTTGCTTCAAGTCGTCCCTCCTTTTCAGACTGTACCAATGTACTTTTTACATATATTGATTGATGTCTCATGTCTACGTAAAATGTATAAAACCAAGCAGTGCCCTGACCACCTTGGGCAGATGTTGTCAGCACTTCCTGAGGTTGTGTCATGGGTGCATCCTCATCCTTTGCAAAATAAACTTTCTAAATTAACTGAGACCTGTCTCGGATTTTCTGGGTTCACAGTAGGATATGTTCACCAGATATATTATTTTAGGGTAAAAGTTTTCTTCCTTCAGCACTTTAAATATGTTCTCTCTCTCTCTCCTAGCCTGTAACACTTTTATTAGGAAGTCTGCTGCCAGATGTATTGGAACTCCATTGTATGTTATTTGCTTATTTTCTTTTGCTGATTTTAGCATCCCTTCTTTATCCTTGACCTTTTGGAGTTTGATTATTAAATTCCTTGATGTAGTTTTCTTTGGGTTAAATCTGCTTGGTGTTCCATAATCATCTTGTACTTGAATATTGATATCTTTCTCTATGTTTGGGATGTCCTCCTATTTTATTTCTTTGAATAATTTTTCTACCCCATCTCTTTCTCTACCTCCCGTTTAAGGTGAATAACTCTTAGATTTGCCCTGTTGAGGCTATTTTCTAAATCTTTTCATTGTGCTTCACTTTTTATTCTTTTTTGTTTTGTCTCCTCTGAGTGTGTATTTTCAAATAGCCTGTCTTCAAGCTCTTGATTTTTTTCTTCTGCTTGACCCATTCTGCCAATAAAGGATCCTGATGCATTCTTCAGTATGTCAATTTGCCAATTCAGTAAGATTCTTTTAAATTATTTCAATGTCTTTGTTAAGTTTATCTGATAGGATTCTGAGTTTCTCTGTGTTATCTTGAATTTATTTGAGTTTCCTCAAAACAGCTATTTTGAATTCCCTATCTGAATGGCCACATTTATCTGCCTCTCTGAAATTTGTGCCTGGTGTATTATTTATTTCATTTGGTGAGGTCGTGTTTTCCTGGATGGTCTTGATGCTTGTGGATGTTCCTCAGTGTCTGGGCACTGAAGAGTTAGGTACTTATTGTAGTCTTGTCAGTGTGGGCTTGTTTAGATACATCCTTGTTGGGAATGTTTTCCAGGTATTCAAAGGGACTTAAGTGTTGTGATCTAAAATTTTGGTCACTGCCCCATATTTGTGTTAGAGGGCACCCCAAGCCCAGCAATGCTTTAGTTCTTGCAGACTCAGTGTTATCACCTTTATGGTCCTTGATAACATTTGGAAAAATTCTCTGGATTACCAGGCAGGGACTCTTGTTCTCTTCCCTTACTTTCTCCCAAACAAATTGAGTCTCCCCCTTTCTCTATGTTCTGAGCTGGCTGGAACAAGGGTAGGGTAACACAAACACCCCTATGGCCACAACCACTGAAACTGTGCTGGGTCAGACCTGAAGTGAACACAGCACTAGGTCTCTCCCAAGGCCGACTGTAACCACTACTTAGCTGTCTCCTCTGTTCGCTCAAGGCCCTAAGCCTCTACAATCAGAAGGTGGCAAAGTCAGCCAGTCTTATGTCCTTGTCTTCAGGGTGGTTAGTTACCCTGTTTCTCAGGCAGATCTAGATATGTTGTTAAGGACTCAGGTTCTGTAGTTGGAAACCTTAGGAATCTACCTGATGCTCCTTTCTACTGTGGCTAAGCTAGCACTAAATCCACAGGACAAAGTCCTTCCTACTCTTTCCTCCCCTTTACACAGGCAGAGAAGACTCTCCTAATGTCCATCATCAGCACAGGTCCATGGGGATTACCGTCAGGCTACCACTCACATTCATTTAATGCCCAAAGGCTCTTCAGTCAACTTGTGGTGAATGCTGCCAGACTTGGGACTCACCCCTCAGGGAAGTGAGATCTCCTTTGTCCCAGGGTCAGTTCAGAGATGCCATCTGTAAGGTTCTTATATTGGTTTGAATCCTGAGAGCGCGCCAACAGACAACACCAGGCGGTTTGGAGCAACACGCTGTTTTAATGAGCACCTGGGTGCAGGAGGGCTGAGGCCTAAAATGGCATCAGCCCCAAAAGAGGACTGGACAGGCGTTTATAGTCCTTTGTAAACAGGAAGTGTCCCAGTCTGACGTGACTGCTACATAGTACCCAAACAGCCTCTTTCTCCATCTTCCGGGGTATGTGTCTTCCGGCCAGGGTAGGTGTCTTCCGGCCAGCTCTCTTCTTGCTTCTGTTATCTTGCTGATGCACGCTGCCGGTGCAAGTGGCCTTGCGCCTTGGGACTGGGCCTGAGAAGGGAGTGAGTTACTTATCTCTTCAAGCTTTCAGGCCCTGGGGAGAATCTTTCACCATCCAAAAGCCAAGGCCTGGAATCAGGGACACCAGAACCTACTTGGTGCTCTTCCCCCTGTGGCCGAGCTGTTTCTTAAGCTATAAGGTAAAGTTCCTTTTATTCTTTTCTCTCCTCTTCTCAAGCATAAAGAGTCTCTTCTCATAGCCACCACACTTATGAATATGCTGGGTCACACTTGAAGCCAGCATGTCTCAGAGTCTCGCCCAAGGCCCATAGCGTGTACTGCCTGGGTACTGCTGTTGATTATTCAGGACCCATGGGCTCTTTAGTCAGCAAATAATGTATTCTGCTGAGAATGGGTTCTTCCCTTCAAGGCAGCAGGTTCCTTTCTGGCTCAGGGTCTGTCTAGAAATGTCCAGAAGCTACAACTTGAAATGGGGGTCTCATGACTCTGACCAGTGCCCTACTCTTTTGTGGCTAAGCTGGTATCCAAGTTGCAAGACAAAGTCCTCTTTACTCTTACCTCTCCTCTCCTCTCCTCAAATGGAAGGTAGAGGTCTCTTTCAAAGCTGCAAGCTGTGCTACCTGTGGTGGGAAGAAGGGTGATGCAAGCACTCTTTGAGCCATTCTGGCTGGCGTCTCATTAAGTCATGTGCCCCCAATTCCACTGGCTCTACAAGCCCAGCATAGAACTAGGATTTACCTAGAAGTTTCAGTCCTTATGGCCTAGACTGCCTTTCAAGGTTTTTTTTTAGGATCCCAGACCACTATAGCCCACGGTTGCAAGGCTTGCTGAAACTCAAAAGTTCTGACCACTGGGATGGGTGACTCCTTCTCACTAGGGCTGGTCTAAATGCTCTCTCCATGGGTGTTGGCTGAGTTCTACCTAATGTTGACGAGACTGATTTATAATGCAAAGTCCCACAATTGCTGTTCTTTCGCTCCCCCAAGCCACAGATTCTCTCTCTGTGCCACACAGCTACTGCTGGCAAATGGGAATGAGGTGGTGTTGGTAATTCAAGACTGTCTTTTCTACCCTATTCGGTGCCCCTTTCAGTGATATGAATTTAAAACCAGCTACTGTAATCACTCACCTGGTTTTTGGTTCTTACGAAGGTGCCTTTTTTGGTGTAGATAGTTGTTAAATTTGGTGTTCCTGTGGAGAGGACAATTGGTGGGGGCTTCTATTTGGCCATCTTGCTCCAACTCCTGTCACTCTTATTGTGTGCCCTTTGGTTGCAAAAGTCATTCCTAATGGAAGACCGAGTTTGCAATGGTTCCTTTTTGGGAGCAATCAACTAGAACCCTCATATGCTGCTGATGAGAATATAAAATAGTATAATCACTTAAGAAAGATGTTTGGCAGTTTCTTGTAAACTTTAGAGTCCAATTACTGTATAGTCCAGCCATTCTATTCTTAGGTATTTATCAAAGATAATTAACAGCATGTGTGTCTACATATGCCAAATACATGCATGTTAATTATACTTCAAAAATTATGTATTAAAATGAACATAAGACAAAATAAATGCATCTTTCAATGAGCAGAAACATAAATGATAATATACTGTCTGTGAAACACTGTGAACATCATTTTCCCAAACCTTGCCACAGCCACTAAAGGCAAAGCCCATGAGTATAACTCAGCTATGACTGAATTCCTGTGTATATGCCTCACACCACTTTTATTCTCAAACCATACTCAGTATTTCACTGTTTCTTAAAAGAAAATGATTAAATTTTATAACTCATTAGAAAGTGTTTTTTTCACTAAAGATATTATATTAGACATAGTCAAAGTTTACCACACAATATAACTTTATTAAAGTTACTTTATACTTGGCATTTTCCCCCTAATGTTTCTTACAATATGTGAGCTACCTCCTTTGACTTTTTGTTTCTCCACATTCCTCTAACCCCACTCTGGTTTTTGAGCCATCCAGCAATGGCCCTTAGATTGCATAAATCATTCAAAAAGTAAAAGTTCCTAATTAGTTGATTTCACTGCTATTTTGATGAAAGCTTATTCACAGCATCCACTGTTCCTCCAAAATGCTCCTTGAGCATCTAATTAACTTTGCTATGTATTCACTCTCTCATCCCCAAAATACCCTTCACAAACAGGTATGATTCCAATAACAGGACATGAGATTTTCATTACATCACTTTTTAAAGCTGTCTCTTTATAATTATTGTTCCGTGGCAATTGTTTGCGTTGTTTGTAAGTTATTTGTATGTATGCCAACATTAATTCTCTTTAATTTTCTGAAAAAATCAATTGCTCTAACAAATATTAATAATTCACTGCCTAGAATAATTAAAAGAACCATCTACAGAGAAACTATGAACTTATTTGAGGAGAATGCGCACCACATATATGTTTCTTTTAATGTAGTAGTGGTATTATTCCTGGAATAATAACTGTGATTTAAAGAAGATTTTGCTTATGTTACAATATTTTTCTCAGGATTTCTTTAAAAATTAAACCTTTTTTTGGTGCTATCTATTAACTATCTGCTAGAATCAAGGCCTTAGCAGTCTCATAGCTACTTTTCATGAGTTGTTTTTCCCAATATCATGCAGCTTCAGAGTGGAAGGCTATGCAATCTATAAAAAGACATATGATTTTAATCTTGATAGAATTTAAGGTACGTAGAGTGTGTTTTTATGGCAATAATCTTTCCACTGTTATTTCTCTACTTGACCCATTTGTGCTAGTGAAAATCACGGGTCTTAGTTTACAATAAATTACTTGCTAATCTAAATGTCAATGGGGAACTACTGTGATTTAGAACTGTAATCTCATTAATTTATTTCGTGGATCAGTGTTTATAGGGTCCTTTCAATGGAGGGCAAGACAATGAACTATGGCGATTGGGGTGTAACCTTTGAACACCAGAAGACCTGACAGGATTATACAACAGAAAATTGAATGTCATTTAGAAAACTGCTTGGACAGTTTTAGATCTTATTATTATGCTAAAAGATGAAAGAAGTAAAAAAAAAAAAGATCTACTGTACACCATTTTATATCCTTAGCATGCATGCTTCAGGATCATTATCTTGCACCAAATAAACCTCTGGGCTACTGGGTTTCCTGAAGGTATTTGAACAAGGATGTAACCTCCCAGGTACTTCTTATTTATATAATCTTTATTGGCCATGTAAGGTCAGTAAAGCTGATGTCAATGCTGATTCAGTAACATTTGAAAGTTTCCAGTAAACTACAATTAAAGATTCAAAAATTTTTATTAATGTCTTTTTTAATATTAGTCAGTGTCAAAGATGAGATATTCTATTTGAGTAATTACTAGTATCTTAGAGTAAGGTAGTATTGAATAAGTAGAACTATTTTCAACTTTCAAACATTGATCAACTTTATTTTATTTTGACTTTCCAAAAATGTGGTATAAAATGTAATCCTGAAAAAAAAATACTCCCCAATCATACATATTCCTCAATACCACTGTCATGTCTGGCAAGTAGGAGGTCATTGGTAGTCTTTGAATGCATATATATATAGTTTCAATTATCACCTTTTATGTAAATGACTGCTAACCCTCTCATCAATTTCCAGTAAAATGGCCTCACTTACCTAAAAGACATCTTCACTTGGATGTTTTGTTAGCTCAACTCAACATATCTAAAAATTAAATTGAATTTGCTTTATTCTTTTCTCTTCAATTGGCTCACTTTCCTATTGTTGTTAGTGTTATTACCATCCTCAGTTAGCAAAAAATCTATTTATTTGAGAATTTTTCCTCTCCTACAATTCTCAAATATACTCAAAGTGCAGTTAATGGTTCCATCAGAAAGACTTACTTATCAATAGCTGCCTTGACATCCTGCCCATCCTTTAAGACCAAGACAAAAACCTCAGCTTTTTCTGGTATGTGCTGAAATTAATGGCGTCAGGATGGCTGGTGAACTCCAAATAACCACACTGATAGAATTTATTTTTTAAAAGGTGATATAGTATGAAGTTTTTTGAAGAATAAAATAGGCTTATGCCTGAGAGGAGGAAAAGAGAAAAATCGTATTCATCAGGGATTGGGCTCAACTTATTTTTTTTTCTCTTTAGAGCCTAAAATTTAAATAGTGTTATTTCTCAACTATTGAGGGGAAATATTTTGGAGAAAATGATTTTACATTTTTAAGTGCTCTCTCATACTTAAGTGATTATACCACATGTGTACATCTGTTCTCTCTTCTGTACAAAACATCCTTGTTTTTAAGTTTAAAGTTTTTATGTTTAAAAATTTAAAACTGGGAAACTGCATTTTCTTGCCTGCTGATAGGTTTCTCTTTTTATACCCCCGACTTATCTGAAAGGAAGTTTTAAAGACCTTCGTCTGTCTCCTAAATAGTGATACTTCATAAATTTATAATAATTACAATTTAGAATCATAGCTGTGATTTGATATACACTCCACAAAAGTTTTAGTGAGGTGATAACTGGATATTAGCTATGAAATTAATTGATATCTTTTCCTAAATTAATCCTGCCTTTCTAGCAAATTCAACTGCTTTAGCCATTTGATGAGACTATTTTATCACACACCCTCAATCTCCAAACAGCTGAAAACAAGTCCTTTACAGAAAAAATTAACAAAGAAAGATAAGCACTTCGCTAGTGCACTAGCCAAGACAAAACACTGTGCATGCCATTGTATTACAATCTCCTGCAGTATTCGTCATGTTACATGCTGTTCAGGTTTGTAGCCTGGGAACAAAAGGCTAAACCATATAGCCGATGTGTGCAGTAGGCTAGACCATCTAGGTTGGTGTAAGTACATTCTTTCATATGTGCACAATGATGATATTGGCTAATGATGCATTTCTTAGAATATATCCCCATCATTAAACAATGCATGACTGTATATATAAATAAAAATCCCACTACAATGTTAGCGGTCAATTAGCAAAATTTTTTAAAAAGCTACAGACATTAATATTCTTTCTACAAAAGAACTTCTTGCAAATAAGTTCATAAAAGAGGAAAATGCCAATATTAAAATAAATAGCTCATTAACAGAAGAAATCCTATAAATTTATTTATTTCATAAATACTAGGCATTTACTGCATGCTAGGCATAAATGGCTACTATATACATGAAAAGATATCAACCTCACCAATAACCAAAAACATGCAAATAAATATCAAGGTTATTTGGAGGAATATAAATTGTACTCTCTCTAGAGCCCAATTGATAAATTGCATCACAATTAAAACTGCGTATTCATTGATTCATCAGTTCTACTCCTAGGCATTTTATCTCATGAAAATAAGCAAGTGCATACACATGTATGCACAAGGGTATTGGGTGCAATCTGGCTTATAATAGTGGTATTCAAAACTCTGGATGCCCCATAGCTACAGAGATATTGGGTGGTTCTACGGAGCCCCTTCATGGGACACTGGCAATGCAGAGGAATATGCTGAACAAGTGGAATTTGGGATCCCACTTCCTGTTTAAAGAAGAGTATACAATGAGATCACATGGACACAGGAAGGGGAACATCACACTCTGAGGACTGTTGTGGGGTGGGGCGAGGGGGGAGGGGGGAGGGATAGCATTGGGAGATATACCTAATGCTAGATGACGAGTTAGTGGGTGCAGCACACCAGCATGGCACATGTATACATATGTAACTAACCTGCACAATGTGCACACGTACCCTAAAACTTATAATAATAATAATAATAATAATAATAATAATAATAATAATAATAATAATAATAATAAAAAGAAGAGTATCTTAACGATTATGTGTTTCGAATATTGCGACCCTATTCCGGGTGCAGTGGCTCATGCCTGTAATCCCAGCACTTTGGGAGGCTGAGGCGGGCGGACCACCTGAGGAGAAGAGTAGTGCAAGACCACCCTGGCCAATTTGGAAAAACCCCGTCTTTGCTAACAAGACAAAAATTAGCCAGGAATGGTGGCACATGCCTGCAATCCCAGCTACACGAGAGGCTGAGGAGGGAGAATCTCCTGAAACCGGGAAGTGGAGGTTGCAGTGAGCCGAGATCGTGCCACTGAACTCCAGCCTGGGCTAACAGATCCGAGATCCGTCTCAAAAAAATATATATTGAAATTCTCTGAGAGTTTTTGTTTGTTTGTTTTTTGAGACGGAGTCTCACTCTTGTTGCCCAGGCTGGAGTGCAGTGGCGGGATCTCGGCTCACTGCAACCTCTGCCTCCCAGGTTCAAGAGATTCTCCTGCCTCAGCCTCCCGAGTAGCTGGGATTACAGGTTCTCACCAACACGCCCGGCTAATATTTTTTTTGTATTTTTAGTAGAGACAGGGTTTCACTATGCTGGCCAGGCTAGTCTTGAACTCCTGACCTCAAGTGATCCATCCGACTCAGCCTCCCAAAGTGCTGGGATTACAGGCGTGAGCCACCGCTCCCGGTCAAGTTTTCATTTTAAGAAAGGTTTGCATATCTAAAACGAAAAACTATATCTTGTATTAAAATTTAAAATAATCAAAATAATCATCATAAAAGGGTTAAGTAAATGACTGAACATTCACCTAATGGAATTCTCTATATCAATTCAAACGGTATTGGCAAAAATAATATGAACCATTATTTTTTCATCAGTAGATGCCCATAGTATATTATCAAGTGATAAAAGTAGGATGAAACATTGTAGTATGCATAATATGATTCACTTGATGGTATAGATATTATGCATATGTGTAAATAATAAAGTTCAGAAATACATGCAACAGAATGTTAATGACAGTTATCTCTATGTGGTGGCATTGTAGGTGGTTTGAATTATCTTGTTCATATTCTCTATATTATTTGATATTCATATTTCATTCAAGAAAAATATATTCATTTGAAAAAATATTACAGGCCAGGCACAGTGGTTCACGCCTGTAATCCCAGAACTTCAGGAGGCCAAGGTGGGCGCATCACTTTAGGTCAGGAGTTCAAGACCAGCCTGGTCAATGTGGTAAAACCCCATCTCTACTAAAAATACAAAAATTAACGGGGCACTGTGGCGGGCGCCTGTAATCCCAGCTACTCAGGAGACTGAGGCAGGAGAATCGCTTGATCCCGGGAGGTGGAGGTTGCAGTGAGCCAAGATCATGCCACTGCACTCCAGCCTGGGCAATAGAGCGAGACTCTGTCTCAAAAAAAAAAAATTACAAATACAACCTCTGATACACTTTTCTAATTGCTTATCATAGTTGATTGAGGCTAATATAACATCAAGTGTTAATCAAACTGCCATTCTATGGTTGCTGTTAAAGGAGTAGAGGAAACAGAAACAGGAAAGGATTTTTCAGTGTTTTGCCAATCATCTGTCATTTCACACCCACCCCTGCCTCTCTCATTATTTTTGTATTAAAGCTCTTTTGAATAATGTCTAGAGAGCTTATGAATGGTCCCTTGTCATTAATCTCCATACTAGAGAAGGAGTCCAAAACATGGACTTTATGCTGGTGTGGCAGAAAAATATTGCTGGCAAAGACAGTCTACCCTATTTTTTTCTGTACATATTTTGTTTCTGCATTATTTAAAATTATTCTAAAACAAATATGTAGACATATGTATATATTTATATATTTATACATACGTATTTCTATAAATAATTCCTAATTTTTAAATTTCACATTTCCTCTCTATCCACAGTCATATTATGAATTCTATATGGAATTCCTACTTTCTCTGTCTTTTTTTAGTAAAAATGAGATTTTTCTAAAAAACTCAAAACAGCTCTTTTATCATGTAAATATTATTATTCCTTGGAGATTTAAAAATATTTTCAATATTTATCTCCTCTAACTTAAATTCTTACTTAGTAAAATAGAAGAGTATAGAAATATCACTCATTTGTAATAGTGTATAATCTCAGAATAGTACTTTTTTTCTGATTTCTGTCTTGTAAGTAGAGTTACTCATATTTGCAATTATTCCTTAAGTATTTCAAAACTGAAGGAGGTGGGTACATATTGCTGTATGTACACAGAAAGAAATTATTTAGGGTGTAGGTTATCCGAATAGGTTTTTAGGAGAAAAAAGTGAGCTTATTAGATGTTCAAAAACCTGAAACTTTGGCAAATCCTTTATGTCTTAAATCCTTTATGTCTTATATCCTTTATGTGTGTCCTCTTCCTTTTGTATTTGACCTGTTTTGGGGGAAAAAGGGGATGTGATTCCTTCATTGGATGAGTCCTTGCAGATGTCTGTCTAAATATTTTGATAATCGGAGCTATTTTTGCCCTTTTAAATTTCAATTCTTTAGTCCAAAACCCAATTGACCTTTTAAAACATCTTATAATAACAATTAAGAAGGAGAAGATTGTAATAATATGAGACACAGGAGGAGCTGTGTCATTGGAAAATTTAAAGGCAAATGAGAAAAGTATGAAAAAATCAAAATAGTTGAATCTGTTAGAGAGATCAATAAGAAAGATCTGAAAAGCATTGGTCATTGATTTTAAAACCGTAATTGGGGTCACAGGTCATATTCAAAATGTGACTGTCCCCTTTACCAGATTATAGAAAGTTGGAGTAGATGAGTGATTAATGAAAGCCTATAATATCTCAATGTCTATGTGTAATGGTTAATTATATTTGTCAACTTGACAAGGCTAAGGGATGTACCAGATAACTGGTAAAACATTATTTCTGGGTATTTGTGTAAGGGTGTTTATTTAAGAGACAAACTTATGAATTGGTAGACTCAGTAAAGAAGATCACCTTCACCTATGTAAGCTGGCATTATCCAATATGTGAAGGAACTAAATACAACAAAAAACCCTTTGTAATTAGGCTGAGACTTACACTATTGGCTCCCCTGGTTCTCAAGCTTTTAGATTTAGATTACATTAAACCACTGCATTTTCTAATTCTCCAGCTTGCAAACAGCAGATTGTGGAATATCTTGGTCTCCAAAATCACGTGAGAATGTCTAATGCCTATAATAAATATCTTACACACACACACACACACACGATAGATAGATAGATAGATAGATAGATAGATAGATAGATAGAGATAATAGATAAATAGATAAATCTATTAGTTCCATTTCTCTGGATAATCCTAATACAGTGTGTAATATAAGTCAGCTTTTCAGCTTTAGCTTGCCTTCTTAGCTTGTTTACTTTAATACTTCACATATATATATAATGTGTGTGTATACATATATATGTGTGTGTGTGTGTATATATATATATATATATATATACATACTAGCAATAAAGGACACCATGACCCCCAAAATCTGGCAATATACTTCATTCTTTTAAATATTTTTATATTTTTTATCAAGTGACAGTGACTGTTTAAATGGTTAATTATTTACTTTCATATATTTTATATATTTTTATATCTCTGAAATACTCTTTATTAATATTATTAAACAAGGATCCTCCATAGTTCCCTTGCATTACTGACTGCAACACTTTGTGCTAAATTAAAAGTAAAAACAGCAGAGGTGCCAAGATAGCTGAGGGGAAGCAGCTAGTGTGCACTACTCTCACACAGAGGAGATAGAGTGGCAAGTAAATACTAGCTCTTCATCTGGGTCATCCAGGAGGATACACTGGGATTCATCAAGGAAGCAACATGACTCGTGGAGAGCAGAGAGGAGCAACACAGGTGAGCTGCCCATCCTGGATTAGTGCAGAGCCAAGGGAGGCTCTCCAACATGGGGAAATAGTGAATGAGTGAGAGCTCTCAGGGACCTACACTTCTGCTATGGACCTATGGACCTTTGCAATCCTGGGCACAGGAGATTCCCTTGACCTGCTACTCATGGGGCCTCCAGACTGACATGCAGAGCCATGTGGAGTCTGAGCAGAGCCACCACTCAGACCCACTTGGAGCCCAGAGGGCCCTGGATCTCTGAAAACCCTGGTGCCAGCTGCCATAGTCCTGCCAACAAGGAAGCCAGGATCTCTCACGTGCCCACAGGGTAGTGGCCACATCCAGGGTGCTGAGGAGCACAGAGATCGGAGGCTTTGCCTCTTCTACATCTCACCAGCCAAAGCCCACTGGCCTGGGACCCCAGCACAGCCACCTCACCCTTGCTTGAGCACTCAGGATACTCACAGATCTGCATTCAAGACTCTTCTCCATGTGGGTCACTGCCCCTGCTACTCCTCAACGGGCAAGGTCTCCCAACCTGGACCCACAACACAGCCACTCTACCACTGCCTGATCACCTCAGTTGGTGGTGGCTCTGTATTTCTCTAGGGAGAAAATCCCAAATACAACCCAAAAGCTCTCTGCCATTGACACTGCAGTGGTACTGCACTTGCTGCCTTTGGGCTGGAGAAAGAACAAAGACCCTGATGACTTTGTTGGCACCTCCAGCATGCTGCAGCCACCATACAGAGAGGAGCCCAGTCTCTCTTCCCTGTGAGTCCCAGACTTCCTGCTCTTCACAAGGCAGGGCTCCCAGCTTGGAAACACAGTGCAACTGCCCCACCCCTGGCTGAACAATCTCATTGGCAGCGCCTCTATGTCTTTCTGCGTTGGAGTTCTCAGAGGAAACAGACAGCACCTTTGCCATTGCCAATGTAGCAGTACCTCCCTTGTTGCCACTGCGCTGGGGAAAAAAGACACTCTTTGCTGTCCTGGCACCTCCAGTGTGCCCAAGCTGCCAAATGGAGAGGAACCCAGCCCCTCATCCCTGTGAGCCACCAACCCCCTGTTCTTCAGCAGGTAGGTACCCCCACCTTGGGCCCACAATGCAGCCAGCCCACCCCTGGTTGAGCGTTCTCATTTTCAGTGGCTCCGTGTCTCAGGCGTGGAGTTCCTAGAGGCAACTGACAGCCCTTCTGCCTCTGCTGCTACAGTGGTATCTGCCCTCTTTGCTACCAGTCTGGGGAAGGAAAAAAGAACCTGAGTGCTTTACTTACACTTCCAGCATGCCACAGCTGCCCTGCAAAAAGAGGCCAAATTGTCTTCCCCATTTTCCCACCCCCAACACTCCCTGCTCTTCACCAGGAAGGGCTCCCAGGCTTGGGCCTGAAACACAGTTGCCCCAACTCCACCTGATTTTTCTGATTAGCAATAGTTCTCTGTCCCTCTGGACTGGAACCACAAGAGACAAGTAAATGGCCCACTGCCATTGCCATTGCCAAGGTCTATTCCCCTCTTGCCTCCAAGCTGGGAAAGGAACTTGAAGCCTAAACTCACCCCAGGGTTGTAGTGTGCAATCTGGAAGTGTGAAACTGAGATCTGCAGCCAGTATCTGAGCGGCAGAGGGGCCCACACTTTCAGAGCAGCACTGAGTGGGAACATAGCTGCAAATGCAAGGAAATACAGAGCAGCTGTGCAACAAAGTAAGAGGCTATTTAACTACTATTATGCTTAAGCACCATCTACTGGATTACAGCCCAAATTTCAAAAACAAATATGCTTTACTAATATGCCCACCAGTGAAACCAATGAGCATAATTCAGCCACAAATAAAGATCTTGCACAAAGCCTTGGCCTATTGCAAACATTCAGAAATGAAGCCAAGTGACTGTAATCGAATTATACCACAGTTAAAGGAACATCAGTCCACACAGATAAAAAAGAACCAGTGAAATAATTCTGGCAACTCTGAAAGGTAGAGTGTCTTCTTACCTGCAAACAACCATGCTAGCTCCCCAGCAATGTTTTTTAACTGGAATGAAATGGCAGAAATGACTCACAGAATTTAGAATATGGGTGGCAATGAAGACTACTGGGATTCAGAATAAAGTTAAAGCCTATTTCAAGGAATCTAAGGAATCCAGTAAAATGACTCAAGAGATGAAAGATAAAATAGCCATTCTAAGAAAGAACCAAACCCATAGATATAATATAGCTAGAAAACTCACTAACATAAATTTATAACACAATTGAAAATATTAACAGCAGAGTAGACCAAGCTGAGAAAAAAAATCTCAGAGATCACAGACTGGCTCTATGAATTATGTCATTCAGAAAAAAATAAAGAAAAAATAATTTAAAAATTATCATTATCTCCTGTGAGATACTATACAAGATGAGCATCCCCAAGACACATAGTCATCAGATTTTCCAAAGACAATGTGAAAGAAAAAAATATTAGAGGTAGCTAAGGAGATGGGGAAGGTCACCTACAAAGGGAATGTCATCAGGCTAACAGCAGACATTTAAGCAGAAATTATACAAGCCAGGAGAGATTGAAGGCCTATATACAGCATCCTTCAAGAAAATAAATTCCAATTAAGAATTGTATGCCTAGCCAAACTAAGCTTATAAATGAAGAAGAAAGAAAATCCTTTTAAGAAAGCAAATGTTAATGAAATCTGTTACCACCAGACCTGCCTTAGAAAATATCCTTAATGAAACATTGTTACCAGCCAACACAAAAAACACACATAAGAACATAGATCATTGACACTATAAAGCAACTACACAATCAAGTCTACATAAAAAATCAGCTAACAACATGACGACAGGATCAAATCTGCATGTATCAATATTAACCTTAAACATTAATGGGCTAAATGTCCCACTTAAAAGGCACAGAGTGGGAAATTGGATAAAGAAATAGAGCCCAATTGTATGCTGTTTTCAATAGATTCATTTAACATGCAGGGACATTGATATTCTCAAAGTAAAAGGATGGAGAAAAATCAATCAAGCAAATAAAAAGCAAAAAAGAGCAAGGATTCCTATTCTTATTCCATAAATCTGAGATGACACAAATAGAAAAATATTTCATCCTCATGGATTTGGAAAAATCAATATTGTTAAAATGACTATACTGCAAAAATCAATTTACATATTCAATGTTATTCCTATCAAACTGCCAACATCATTTTTCCCTGAAAAAAATAAACTATTCTAAAATTCATTGGGGCCTAAAAAAGAGCCTGAATAGCCAAGGAAATCCTAAGCAAAAGGAGCAAATCTGGAAGCATCACACTACCTAACATCAAAGTATACTGCAAGACTACAGTAACTAAAATAGCATGGTACTGGTGCAAAAGCAGAAACATTGACCAGTGGAACAGATTAGAGAGACCAGAAATAATGCTGCACAACACAGCCATCTGATATTCAAGAAACTGACAAAAAAAAAAAACAATGGGGAAAGGACTCCCTATGTAATAAATGGTGCTGGGATACCATATGCAGAAGATTGAAACTGAATGCTTTTCTTTAACGATACAAAAACATTAACCAATGATGGATTAAATACATTTAAAACCTAAAACTATAAAACTCTAGAAAAAGTCCTAGATTCTGGACATCAGCCCTGGCAAAGGCCTCATAATGAAGTCTCCAAAAGAAATTGCAACAAAAATAAATATAGACAAATGGGACCTAATTAAACTAAAGACTTTCTCTGCAGCAAAAGAAACCAATCGACTAAATGAACAACCTACAGAATGTGAGAAAATAGTTGCAAATTATGCATCCAACAGAGGTCAAATATCCAGAATCTGTAAGTAACTTAAACAAATTGACAAGATTTTCCCTAGCCCATGGATTACTAAAAGTGTGTTTTTAAAAACGAACAAAATTATTAATAATGGGCAAAGTTCATGAACAGACAATTCTTCAAATAAGACTTACACATGACCAACAAACATGAGAAAATCCTCGACATCTCTAATCATTAGAGAAAAGCAAATTGAAACCACAATGACATACCATCTCAAATGTTAGAATGGCTATTATTAAAAAGTCAAAAAATAACAGAAGCTATTTAGTTGCAGAGTAAAGGGAATGTTCATATATAGCTGGTGGGAATGTATATTAGTTCAGCCACTGTGGACAGCAGTCTGGAGATTTCTCAAAGTACTTAAAATAGAACTGTCAGTCAACTCAGCAATTCCATGATTGCACATATATTCCCAAAGGAATATAAATCATTTTACCATAACAACACATGTATACATTTGCTCATTGTGGAATAGTTACAATATCAAATACATGGAATCAACCTACATTCCTATTAGTGGTTGACTGGATAATAAAAATATTATATATATAGATATATATATACACATTATATATATATACATTTTATATATATACACATTATATATACACATTATATATATACACACACACACACACACACACATATATATATATATATATATATATATATGCACTACTATGCAGCCATAAAAAGCAAGAAATCATGTCCTTTCCAGTAACATAGATGGAGCTAGAGGCCATTATCCTAAGTGAATTAATGTAGAAACAGAAAACCAAATACTGCATGTTCTCACTTACAAGTGGGAGCTACACATTCAGGACACATGAACACAAAGAAGGGAACAACAGACACCGGGGCCTACTTCAGGGTGGTGGGTAGGAGGAAGACGAGGATTGAAAAAATACCTATTGGGTGTTATGCTGATTATCTGGGTGACAAAATTATACGTACACCACATCCTGGTGAAACACTCAATTTACCCATGTATCAAACCTGCATGGGTACCCACTGAACCTAAAATAAAAATTGGAAAGAAAAAAAAAAAAAGGAAAATTTTCAGGAAAAAATGATGAGAACAGCTGTTTTTGTTTTCTTCTTAGAAAACTCACAACACATCAGTGATGTGTCTGGTTGGGTTTAAGTTAGTAAATCCAAATTTAATTTCATTATCATTTTGACATAAAACATACTCAAATTTGAAATATAAAATAGGAAATGGACAGCATTGCTCAGGCTTATTTTACTAAAATTTATTGTATAAAGAGTGTGTAATGCATATATAGTGTTAACTACAGTAAGTACTAAGGAAATTTAAATAAAACATAAATATTAATGATCTAGTGTAAAATATTTACACATATTCATAAGAAAAGTTGCAATTTTTGCCCTGAACAAATGGATTTTCTCTGTGTTTCTCCAGTGTCAAGGACATAAAACCTTCATTGACTAACATTTTGTTACTATCACTAGCCTATGCTTTTCATTTCTACAGTCATTACTTATTATACATATAACTACGGTGATATTTGATGGAAGATTTTTGATAATTGATTCAGATTTTTCATTTCTTCTCTTTCCATCTTTGTTGTGTTTTTCAAAAATTTTGTCTAAGTCATTTAAGGTTTTAATATTATTGGAAGAAATATTTTTATAATATTTCCATATTTTCCTTTTTATATATTCAGAATCTGTAATCATATGTTCTCTTTCATTCTGAATAAGAATAATTGGTGATTTCTTCCCTTTTTCTTCTTCATTCTTGGCAGGAGTATATCAATCTTTCCATTTTTCCAAGGAATCAACTTTCAATACTATTAATTTTTTTATTTTTTGTACAATCACTATTTCATTGATTTTGATTCCTATTCTTATCTTTTTTACATTTCATTAGAGTTCAATTTGTTCTTTCTTTTCTAGTTTTGTTGAGTGGAATTTTAGATTGTTGATTTGACATCTTTTCTAATATAAGCAGGTAACTAAATAAATTTTCTGCTAGCAGTGCTTTTAGCTGAATCCCATATATTTTGATACATCTTACTGGTATTATTCCACAGTTTAAAATATTTTCTAATTTTTCTTGTGATTTTTTTAGCCCATGGATTATTAAAAGTGTTTTTTTTAATTCCAAATATTTGGAGTATATTTTAGATATCATATTGTTAATGATTTATATTATTTCTCCTGTGGTCAGAAATATAATCTCTAAGATTTCAATCTTTGAAAATGTATTAAGATTGGTTTTGTGGTATAGTACATGGTCTATCTTGATGAATGTTCCATGTGTATACGAAAAGAATGTGTATTCTGTTATTCTCAGGTATAGTATTTTGAAAATATCATTTAGGTCAAGGGGGTTGACGGTGTTTGTTAGGTCTTCTATATTCTTAGGGTTAGTTTATCTACAGTATTTGCTCCGCTCCATGAGAGTCATTGAATTCTCAAAAATAACTACTGATTTATTTACCCTTTAATTCTGACTGCTGTTTTCATGTATTTTGAATCTGTGCTATTAGATCTATATACATTTAATATTGTTGTCTTCCTTTTGAATTAACCTTTTTATCAATGTAAAATATCTCTATCTATGTAGTATTCACTTTATCCAGTATTATCATAGTCATACTTGCTTTCTTTTGCTTAGCATTTGTGTAGTTGTTTTTTTAAGGACTTATCTCTATGTTTATATATGAGTGTGCCACTTAAAATTAGCACAAAATATGTCTTTAATTTCTATTTTTTTCTGGATTGTTTAGTTATATTTAATGTAATTTTGGATACAGTTGGGTTTAATTCTACCATAATTCTATATGTATTTGCAGAACACAATATATCTTTTGTATCTATGTTCTTCTTTTCTACTGTTTTTTAAGTTAATTGAATTTATTTTGTTTTTTATTGATATAGTACTTGTACATATTTATGGGGTATGTATGATTTTTTTTACATTCGTGGACTGTATAATGATTACATCAGGGTATTTGGGGTGTTCAGCACCTGAAGTAATTATCATTTCTATGTGTTTGGAACATTTCTAGTCCTCTCTTCTAGCTACTTCTAAATATACAATAAATTGCTTTTAACTATAGTTTTCCTACTCTGCTATTGAAAAATAGAACTTCCTCGTTCTATCTAACTATATGTTTGTGCCCATCACCAACTTATCTTAATCCCCCTTCTACCTACATACCTATTCCAACCTCCAGTGTCTATCATTCTACTCACTATGTTCATGAGATCAATGTTTTTTAGCTCCCACACCTGAGTGAGAACGTGATATTTGTCTTTCCATGCCTAGCTTATTTCACTCATCAGTGACCTTCAGTACCATCCATGTTGCTGCAGATAAAATGATTTTATTCTTTCTTTTATGGCTGAATAGCATCCCATTGTGTATATATGCCACATTTTATTTATCCATTCATCCACTAATGGCAACATAGATTGCTTCCATATCTTTCTTACGGTGAATAGTGCTGTAATAAATGTGAAAATGCAGGAATCCCTTTGATATACTGATTTTTCTTTGAATAAATACCTAGTAATAGGATTGCTAGATTATATGCTAGTTATATTTTAGTTTTAAATAAGTCTCCACACTGTTTTCCATAGTGGCAGTACTAATTTACATTCCAATGCATATTGTATAAGAGTTCCCTTTTCACTGCATCCTCGCCAGCATCTGTTACTTTTTGTCTTTTAAATAATAATCATTCTGTGGTAAGATAATAACTCATTATGGTTTTGACTTGCATTTCCCTAATGGCTAGTGATGTTGAGTATTTTTTCCGTATACATTTTAGCCATTTGTATGTATTCTTTTGAGAAATGTCCATTTGTGTCCTTTGTCCACTTTTTAATGGGATTATTTGGTGTTTTTGTTGTTGTTGTTACTGTTGTTTGAGTTACTTGCATATTCTAGATATTAGTCTCTTGTTGGATGAATAGTTTTTAAATGTTTTCTCCCATTCTAAGGTTGTTTCTTCACTCCATTGTTTCCTTTGCTGTGCAGAATGTTTTCAGTTTAATATAGTCCCATTTATCTCATTTTGTTTTTGTTGCCTGTGCTTTTAAGGTTTTAGCCATAAAAGCTTTTCCGAGACAGAATGTTTCCCTATGTGTTCTTCCAGTAGTTTTATATTTTTGGGTCTTTTGGGTCTTATATTTAAGTAAGTCTTTAATCAATCTTAAGCTGTTTTTTCCAAGCACCATTTATTGAAGAGGGTGTTGTTTCCCCAGTGTATGTTCTTGGTGCCTTTGTCAAACTCAGTTGGCTGTAAATATGTGGATTTCTTTCTGGCTTACTTTTTTTTCTCTTCTTTTGGTCTACGTGTCTGTTTTTATGCATGCCATAATGTTTTTGTGTCTGTAGTATATTTTGAAGTCTGATAGTGATGCTTCCAGCTTTGTTCTTTTTGCTCAGAATTGCTTTGGCTATTTGTACATTTTTTTGGTGCCCTGTGAATTTTAGGATTGCTTTTTTCTATTTCTGTGAAAAATGACATTGGTATTTTGATAGGGAATGCATTGAATCTCTAGATAGCTTTTAACAGTATGGTTATTTTAACAATATTAATTCTTCTGGTTCATGAGCATGGGATGTCTTTCTACTTATTTGTGTACTCTTCACAAACAACTTATTAGTAATAAGATTAATTAATAATCGTATTCATCAGTTTGGGGCAGTTTTCCTTGTAGAAGTCTTTCAGCTTGTTGGTTAAATGTATTCCGAGTGTTTTAATTTTTTGTAGCTATTGTAAATGTGATTGCCTTCTTGACTTCTTTCTCAGCTAGTTCATTATTGGTGTATAGAAACACTATGATAGAATACTTTTTAAATTACATTTCATCACCCCTAATAACCTTTAAGATATTCCTCTTTTATTATTACTTTATTATTACTATTTTGTTACTTAGAGTTTAAAACACAAACATATAAATTTGTTTATGTGTTGTCTAAAGATCCTTTCCTGCTTTAATGGCAGATTTTACTAGTCACAACAGAGCAATTATGGCCTGCAAACCTAAAATAGTTACTATCTGGCTGCTAAAGGATGAAAAGTGTTTCTTGCTCTCAATTCATATGTTGAAGCCACGATTTTTCAGTACCTTAGAATATGACTGTATTTGCAAATCTAGTCTTTAAAGTGGTGATTATGTTAAAATGAGGATAATTGTGTAGGCTCTAACCCAACCTAACCGATGTCCTTATAACAGAGAAAATTTAGACACACGGAGACACCAGGATGTACATACACAGAAAAAAAACCATGTGAGTACAGTTAGAAAGTGGTACACTGTCAGTGGGAATGTAAATTGGTATACTCATTATGGAAAACAATATGGAGCTTCCTCAAAAAATTAAAATAAAAAATAGAATTTCCATATGATCCAGCAATCCCACTTCTGGGTACATATTCAAAGGAAAGGAAATCAGTATATGAAAAAAAAAATATCTGCACTCCCAAGTTCATTTCAACATTATTTGCAGTACTCAAGGTACGGAATCAACCTGTGTCCACCAACAGATGAATGAATAAAGAAAATATGGCATGTATTCAAAACAGAATACTATTCAGTCTTAGAAAAAAAGCAAATGTCATCATCTGTGACGTGAATGAACCCTTAGGACATTATATTAAGAGAAAGAAGCCTGACACAAAAAGACAAGTACTGAAGAATCGCACCTGTATATAGAATCTAAAAACAGCAACAACAAATAAAACATTGAAGTCACAGAAGTAGACAATAGAATGGTGTTTATTAGAGGATGAGGTATAAGGGGTCGGGGAGACATTGGTCAAATAATACAAAACTTCAGTTACATAAGAGAAATAATTTCAAGAGATCTATTGTACAACATGATGACTGTAGTTAAAAGATATATGTTTTATTTTGAAAATCTCTGAGAGTAGATTTTAAGTGTTCTCTCCACAAAAATATGGTATGTGAGGTAATGTATATGTTCAACTCATATGACTCAACTGAGCCATTCCACAGTGTATACATATTTCAAAATATTATGTTGTCTTTTTAAAAATATGCATTTTTAATTTGCCAATTAAAAAATAAAATAATATGAGCTAAAACTATAAAACATATAAAACCTATAAGAAAATATGGGGCAAATCTTTATGACATTAGATTTGACAGTGATTTTTTTAGATGTGACACCAAAAACACAGGCATCAACAAAATATATATAATTTTTTTGGACTTCATCAAAATTAAAAACTTCTTTGTGCTATCAAACAAGTGAAACACTATCAAATAGTGAAACACTATCAAACAAGTGAAAAAGCAACTTATAAAATGAAAGAAAATATTTGCAAGTCATATATTTGATAAAGAATTGGTTTCTAGAATATATATATAAAGAGCTCCTACAACTCAACAACGAAAAAGAATACAAATCAATTGAATAGTGGACAAAAGGCTTAGACAATTCTCCAAAGAAATATGCAAGTATTCAATATATAAAAAATTATCAACATCATTAGTCATTAAGACAATAAAATGAAAATAACATATTACTTTATACCCATTATAATGGCTATTATCAATATGAAATAAAACTAATCTAAAAAAAAGTTGTTAAGGATGTGTAGAAATTGAAACCCTAGTACATTGCTGATGAGAATGTAAAATGATGTAGCAGCTGTTGAAGACCTCTAGTGGTTACTGAAAAAATTCAACCCAGAACTACTATATATCCAGAAATTTCACTTCTAGGTATGTATCCAAAAGAATTGAAAGGAAGGACTGGAACAGCTATTTGTACATGAATGTTCACAGCATTATTATTTGCAATTGCCAAAAAGTGGAAATAACCCACGTGTCTATATATATATGAATGAATTATCAATATGTGAAATATACATCTAATGAACTACTCTTTAGCCTTAAAATGAAATAAAATTCTGATGTGTATTACAACATGGATGACTTTCAGAAATATTATGCTAAGTAAAATAAGTTAGACACAAAAGGGAAAATATTGTATGATCTCACGTGAGATACCTAGAGTAATCAAATTCTTAGAGACAAAATAGTGTGTTATAGGGTCGCATGGGAGGGGATCATTGGGAATCATTGTTCAGTGGGTACAGGGTTTCAGGTTTGAAGGATGAACAGGTTTGGAGATCAATAGTAGTGATAGTTGCACGAGAACACGAATATTCTTAATTCCACTAAACTGTATGCTTAAAAATGGTAAATTTTGTGTTATGTGTATTTCACCACCATAACAACCGATACAGTAGCAAGAAAAAATCATGAATGTGGAAATATCCCAAAAGGGATGAGAAAAAAATTGAGTGAAATGGCTTTGGAATTTAGAATATAGGAATAGAACAGAGAAGAGGGTTATGATAAAATGAACAAAGAAACTTTTTTTTTGCTATTGCCAAAAAGTGAAAATAACCCATATGTCTATATATGTATGAATGAATTATCAATATGTGCTATATACATCTAATGAACTATTCTTTAGCCTTAAAGTGAAATAAAATTCTGATGCATATTACAACATGGATGACTTTTGAAAATATTATGCTAAGTAAAATAAGTCAAACACAAAAGGGAAATATTGTATGAATTGGTATGAAGAAAATAAGTAGATTAGGAAGATTATATCAATCAGATTATATGTAAAAGAGAAGTTATTGTTGAGAGTGAGGGTAGCAGGGATGGAACTTAGATTTGCACTTGGAAAATGGACTGGTGTGGGAAATAGTTTTTAACAGAAATTCTGTAAGTAATTTATAGAAATATTAATATGTATATTTTAATTATCACACTTCAAGTGTAACATGGTTAGTTTATTACAAAGCAGCAGAAACATTTTAGATAATTCATTCTCAAAATCTGAGCATGCCCTGTACAAAGAATTAGTTTACATATCAATAATCCAGTACTCCAGCAGAGGGACATCTTGAGTTAAAAATTAACAAAGCAGCACTGAAAACAAAAGAGGAAGAAGGAATCTATTTCTTCACACTCAACTGCCACTATTATACTACAGTGACAAAAACAATGCATTTTATTAAAATTTGTAATGCACTTAATATGGTCTATGGCCAATAATGCCTAACTTTTCAAAATATACATTAAATTAACCCTTGGAACTTTTTAGCTATGGATCAGTAACATTATTGGAACTTGGGTATAAAAATTTAGCTCTTTTAATTATGCTGTTCAGATATAACATATATTAAGTCCCATGTTCACCATCTTTGTTGTTTTGCCTCCTAATATTCTGTACTATTTATGTCTTATTTTCCTCTTATTAACCGTCCCAAATTAAATAGCAGCATTTGATAATACATTACACATGTAA
Source organism: Homo sapiens (assembly GCF_000001405.40). Classification (NCBI taxonomy): domain Eukaryota; kingdom Metazoa; phylum Chordata; class Mammalia; order Primates; family Hominidae; genus Homo; species Homo sapiens. Next base: position 87,339,114 of record NC_000023.11, read on the forward strand.
ACCTTTTGTCTTTCTCAATATCATCATTCAAATTTTAACAGCTTCTTTGTTTTAATTTAAAAAACACACATAAAATAGAAGTTTTAAATTAAAACTTTACATGTTTTGGACATTGGTTCCATTACTTTATTATTTTTAATTAATAGCTTCTTTGTGACTTTTTTCAATAGAAATTGTATGAATGAATAAAATCTAGCAATTACTCTGTTGCAGAGTTGTACTTCCACCAGAAAGATGTTTTATAACATAGCCAGTTAACAGGAATTTATGAAATCAAATTATGTCTTCTCACTTTTGATTTAGACAACAGATGCAAGAATTATCATTTTCAGCTTTGATGACTGTCACCACCCAGTCTTTGGACATCATTTCTTTAACTTAGCAAATAAGTGTTGATTGACTAATTGTGTTTCAGGCACCTATGTTCTAGGTTCTAGGTACATGCCTGTTAATTTAAAGAAAAAAACCTCTCTGTCCTAATGGACTTTACATTGTGCTCATTGTTCTCCTGATCCTAAGAATTGTTACTTTCAGGTACTTCTGAAAGTGGGGATAAAAAAGGGGCAAAATTAAGAAGATTGTCTCTTTCATGACCTTATCTCCTCTAGTTTTGCTTCTCTCTTTTATACTATTTTATCTTTGTTTTCTTCATTTCAATCAATTCTTCAACTTCATCTATAAATACATTTAGACCTCTTCAGACTGTAAATTTTGGGGGGAATTTATCCCTTAAGTCTCCTATGTTCTATTATCTAATCTTTTACTTACTTTTACTTTGTATCATTTAGGGTGCTTTTGGTCCATAAAACAGCAACCCAATTCAGAATGACTTAAATAACAATGAAATTTACTAAGCTACAAAAGTAAGGAGTCAGGGTGGCCTCAAGGCTCTGGCTCCATTTCTCTGTGATTCTTTACAATCTGCAGTTTTTTCATATATTGAATTTACCCTCAGGCTTCTAACAATAGGATTGAAATAGCTCAAGGTGTCAACTTCTGACATGGTGACCTCCAAAAGAAGAAAAGTATGTCTTTTTGTAGTGTCATGCTGACTTTCCTGAGAAGGAACTCCGCAGTGTTTGCATATCACATTGACAAGTTTTGGGCCACATGCCGATTTCTAAACTTATTACTGGCAAAATAAATAAGATTTTATTACTATGATTGGTTTAGACTAATAGTTTTGAGTGGCATCAACTATGACTACTGCAACATCTCAAGTCAGTTTCTCTTAGACTATTTTTGGTCTACTTCGGTTTATATTGTTGGATGATGTTAACCCCTATGGTCCATTGTTGCCTGTGTAATGTAAGAAATGCATCACATAAAATCCATTATTTTTATATTACTTAAAACATCCAGATAGAGTGCTTTATATATTGTAGTATATAGCACATTTTTTTAGTTTAACTTTGTTTTCACTATTTGAGGGTCAATATTGATGTAGACTGCAAGGTTCACAGAAAATTGATTCCAGACTAAATTAGCAGAGTTTTTGTTTTTTTCATCTTTTAAGAAACTGACTATTCTGTAACAATTATTATTATTAACACTATTTTTGTTATTAAAATTATTGATACTGGAGTACAAAAAGGATAAGAAAAATGTGATTTGTTACTGTGAAAATATTAAGTTCTGTCATTTTACATGGATTCTTTCTCATGTATACCTAAATATCATAAGCTACCCTTGCTATCATTGTTTTATACTTATACTTTCATTTATTTATTTATTTATTTATTTATTTATTTATTTGGAGACAGCGTTTTACTCTGTCACCCAGGCTGGAGTGCAGTGGTGCTATCTCGGCTCACTGCAACCTCCGCCTCCCGGGTTCAAGTGATTCTCCTGCATCAGCCCTCAGCCTCCAGAGTAGCTGGGATTACAGGTGTGTGCCATTACATCCGACTATTTTTGTATTTTTAGTAGAGATGGGGTTTTGCCATGTTGGCCAGGTTGGTCTCAAACTCCTGGCCCCATGTGATCCACCAGCCTCAGCCTCCCAAAGTACTGGGATTACAGGCGTGATCCCTGGTATATCCCACAACACCTGGCACTTATACTTTTGTCTCCAGCAGCATATTGACACTATAACTGGACTGTAAGAATCTTTAGGAAATGATATAACAGGGTTGGTCGCAGTGGCTCCCGCTTTTAATCCCAGCACTTTGAGATCACTTGAGGTCAGGAGTTCGAGACCAGTTTGGCCAACATGGTGAAACCGTGTCTCTCCAAAAAAAAAAAAAAAAAAAAAACAACAACTCCCCCCAAAAATATTAGCTGGGCATGGTGGCACGTGCCTGTAATCCCAGCCACTCGGGAGGCTGAGGCATGAGAATTGCTTGAACTCAGGAGGCAGAGGTTACAGTGAGCTGAGATCATGCCACTGCACTCCAGCCTGGGCAACAGAGTGAGGCTCTGTCTTTTTTTTTTTAAAAAAAGTGATATAACATACCCGAGAAAGTCTGAAAGTTGCATGAACATCATGGGATGAATGAAACCACAAAATCCAATCTACATATTAGGGTTCATAGGCAATGAAGTACAGTGATTCCCTGAAAAGCAGGTTTTGGAGGCAGATACTTGCACTTTGAAGCCTGACACAACTTCACAGCATATGAACGTGCTTATTACTTCACTTCTGTAATACTCAGTTTATTTATACATAAACTGAGGCTATTAGAATTATACTTCATTTGGTTGTTTTTAGCATTGAAATAATATATCTAAAATAATAACCACCATATATACGACATGATAAGCTCTCAATAAATGGCAACGTTATTAATATGTACCAACTGTTGATTTTATAGATGTTGCCTAGTCAGTGATTATTTGTCTGTGCTATATGCTTACTTAGTAAGCATAATAATGGCCCATCGAAGATACTAAAATTCCTGGAATTTTATAATGCATTATATTACATGGTAAAGGGGAATTAAGGTAGCAGATGGAATTAAGGTTGTTAATCAGCTGACCTTACAATAGAGTGATTATCCAGAATTACTCAGGTGACCTCAGTATAATCACAAGGGTCTTTAAATGTGGAAAAGGGAGGCAGAAGAGGAGGTCAGAGTGATGTAAGAAGAACTCTTGCTGACTTTAAAGATAGAAGTAAGACAACTACAAGCCCAAGGAGTATGGGTGGCCTCTAGAATAAGGAAAGGGCAAGAAAAAAGATTCTCCCAGAGAATCTTCAGAAAGAAATACAGCCCTGTGGAAACCTTGATTTCAGTCCAGGGAGGACCACTTTAGGTTTCTAAACTATAAAACTGTAAGATTAAAAAATTTTATTGTTTTAAGTTGCTAAATTTTGGTAATTTATAACAGCAGCCATAGAAAACGAAAATACCTGCCAGAAATGTTTAACATATATTTGTGATACTTACTCCTACAACATAAAGTATATTAAAAGTAGTTAATGCCCATGAAAATATTAACATGTTAAATTGCTAACACTTCCCATGTTCATTAATTAATTTATTTAATAAATAATTATTGAGTCCTTACTCTTTGCCAGGTATTGTGCTAGGTTCTAAAGATACAGTGATAATCCAAATAAGTCACAATTTTGTCACTCATGGACTTTTTTCTCTATGTAAATTAGCAAGGTTTGCTGCTATATTGGACATAGGGAGTAAGAAAGACAGGAGTATTTATGAATAACTCCTAAATTTCTGGTTTTCAAAACTCGATAGAGAGATGCCATTCACTGATAGCGGACTTACTAGGTGAAGACTAAATCACATATTGCATTAAATATGGTGAATTTAAAGTAACTTTGAGATAGTCAAGTGGAGATTTTCTGTGAGAGCTAGATAAATGTAACTGGTATCACAAGAGGTCTGGGCTTTAGATACGAACAAATAAGAAGAACAGAAGGCATTGGTATGGTTAAGTTCCCCTAAGGGGAGAGTATGGTATGAGCAAAAAGAGTACTTGGAACTGAGTCTTGAGGAATTCCAAGTGTAGAAGAAAACAAAATTATGTCATGAAATTAAAAAATAGAAACTGAAATATGATATTGGTAAACTTCATCAATGTCATTGCTGATGTTAGTGTGAGCCATCCAGGTGTAGTGATTAGGAGAGAATCCAAATTGGAGTAAGTTAGGAGTAAGGGTTGAAGAAATGAAATTAGATAGTATAGACAACACTTTCAAGAAGCATGTCTATAAAGTGAAGAGAAGGAGAATCGGCATGAGAGCTGAATAAAAATATAAGTCAAGGGAGAAATGTATTTTTAAATAAGAGAGACTGGAGCATGTTTTAAATGTCAGTAAGAGGGATCCACTTGAAAAATAATACTTGGCTATATAGGAAAACTAATGAGTAATTGATCATTAGTTTGAGACACTGATAAGGAATAAGATTCAAAGCATGTGGTGTTTGAAGGGAGAGTGATATGTCCAACAACATAACCATGGGGTAGAAGAAGAACACAGTTGTATATGGTTTTATATGCTTTGTATGCTTTTCAGTCAGAGCAGCCAGAAGAGAATATGGAGAAGAGGCTCAGGAAAAAAATAGAAAAAGATTTATTAGACTCATAGGTCCTAGAGAAAGGAAGCAAGACATGCCTCAGAAAGCCACATGGGAAAGACACCAGGTGGGTCAGGAGGCAGAAGACAGGAGCAAGGGGACTGCATCAGACCACAGCTTTTATTGAGGTTTCTGAGGAAATGGCAAGGCAGGGCAGGGATATCAGTTTAGGACTGGCTGGTTTGAATACTTTTGGTGGGCTTTAACCTGTAGAGCCGGTCCTTAGTTTCCTGGTCCTGAAATGATTAGGCCAGAGGAATATTGTCTCCTGGAGTGTACAGTCAGAAAGAGGAGGTGTGGCTTTGGATTTGTTAATTTGCGTATCAAAGACACGCTTCCAGTTGGGCTTTTCATTATTTCCAAGAATTGGTTAGTCCTAGGAATGACCATCTTTCCTCAGCTAGAAAGGTTGTTTAAGATGTCCAAATATCATAATATTTGGGTATATCATAATATACAGAAAAGTAATATATTTACAATACACAAATATTGGGTTTAGCAGCCTGAGGTAGAAGGATGATTTTTTTTCTTTGAAGCGGCAGATAAACAGAGCCTATGGGGGAGGGGAGTGAACAACAGATTTGCGGACAAAAGAAACTTAGACTGTTAGATATCTAATCTTAGTGAGAAGATAGTATTGATTGCCAGACTCATTCTAAACTGATTTACATGCATTATCTCACTTCATCCTCACAAGGACACTTGGAGATAGGTACTCTGACTATCTCCACTGTATAAATGAGGAAACAATCATAGTAACTTCCCTAAATTAATTTATATAGTAAAGGATAAGTCTAAGATTTAATTATGGGTTTCAAAGCCATCTCCTTTATATCTGTGTTATACAGCCTCATAAGAGAGGCCATGAGAGGAATTGTAAGAGAAACAGAAAATTTTGTCAAGTCCACATCTTTGTCAAACATATACTAGACTTCTATTGTGATGGCTTATGAAATCATTAAAAATCATTTAAAAAGTTGAATAGAAGTTATTGGTCAAAAGTTAGAGAGACTATACTCTAGCCTGGGAGATAGACAGAGACCCCATCTCAAAATTAAACAAAAAAAGTATTGTTTTATTGTTTCTTTCAGTAATCTGGCTCTCTACTTGGCTAATGCAACAATATACTACTACGCTAGTTCTCATTCTCCTACTTCAAATACTCCTTTTCAGTGTCCTTTATAAACTCACGCCTCCCTCCCAATATAAACGGTTAAGTTTTCATCTTTGATCCTAGTCCCTTCCCATTTTATAACTTTCCCTGAACAATCTCATTAACTATTAAGAAACTATGCTGATGACTCACAAATCTATTTCTGAATATCATTTGTAAGATATCTACAGGACAGTTTTCTGCAAGACAACTTATAAATATTCTACAGATACTTCGAACTATACATGGACCAAGCCAAACTTCCTTTTCCTAGTTCTAGGATCTATCCTCATTTAAAAATCCCTACTGTCACAATTCTGGTATACATACTCATCCCCTTTACTACCACTCGAAACTGGTCTATATGATTATAATCGGTCCTTTCTCATTTAGACAGTGCTTCACACTTCTAAGACATGTTATAGCATACTACTATTCATTTTATAAGACACTGAAGAATTTTCCATAGTTTTTGTTATATGGTCTATACTCCTTAACATGGCATTCAAATCCTACAGGTCAGTAAATCTCACATTTTGAGACATAGGCCCATTTAAATAGGATAAAAAACCGTGAAGCTTACATACCTCACTCACTCCTACTGTCCAGTGGTAACAAAAAACTGAGGATAAAACAGTGATCACAATAATAGCAATGTCACTATGATACAATCACAAAATGATCACAAAATTCTAAATTTTCATAAACTATAAAATTTTACAATATTTTGTTTTGTCAATAATATAAATGTATTTCTTAACAGTTTTTTACAAACTGTACTAACAGAAAATCAGCTTTTGGAAACAATGAAAATAATATAAATGACATGTTGATAATAAAACACATTTTCTGAAAACCGACAATTCCAACTATCAGTGTTTGCATGTATGGAAGAAGTGATGCAGTGTTACCCCACACATCGAATAAGACAAACTTCTTACAATATTGATGGAATTATAGTCCTCTGTTAACTTTAGTAATTTACTGAATGTTAGTAACTGTTAATAACCCACTTAATTACTGGTAAGAAAGCTGTCTTTCTTGACATTATTCTTTGTCATTCACCAAGTCATAGCCCGCTTCCTTTTAGAAATAATAAATGACATTTTCTTAATCCAGCCTATCATTGTTGGACATTTGGGTTGGTTCCAAGTCTTTGCTATTGTGAATAGTGCTGCAATAAACATATGTGTGCATGTGTCTTTATAGCAGCATGATTTATAGTCCTTTGGGTATATACCCAGTAATGGGATGGCTGGGTCAAGTGGTATTTCTAGTTCTAGATCCCTGAGGAATCGCCACACTGTCTTCCACAATGGTTGAACTAGTTTACCGTCCCACCAACAGTGTAAAAGTGTTCCTAATTCTCCACATCCTCTCCAGCACCTGTTGTTTCCTGACTTTTTAATGATTGCCATTCTAACTGGTGTGAGATGATATCTCATTGTGGTTTTGATTTGCATTTCTCTGATGGCCAGTGATGGTGAGCATTTTTTCATGTGTTTTTGGCTGCATAAATGTCTTCTTTTGAGAAGTGTCTGTTCATGTCCTTCACCCACATTTTGATGGGGTTGTTTGTTTTTTTCTTGTAAATTTGTTTGAGTTCATTGTAGATTCTGTATATTAGCCCTTTGTCAGATGAGTAGATTGCGAAAATTTTCTCCCATTTTGTAGGTTGTCTGTTCACTCTGATGGTAGTTTCTTTTGCTGTGCAGAGGCTCTTTAGTTTAATTAGGGCCCATTTGTCAATTTTGGCTTTTGTTGCCATTGCTTTTGGTGTTGTAGACATGAAGTCCTTGCCCATGCCTATGTCCTGAATGGTAATGCCTAGGTTTTCTTCTAGGGTTTTTATGGTTTTAGGTTTAATGTTTAAGTCTTTAATCCATCTTGAATTAATTTTTGTATAAGGTGTAAGGAAGGGATCCAGTTTCAGCTTTCTACATATGGCTAGCCAGTTTTCCCAGCACCATTTATTAAATAGGGAATCCTTTCCCCATTGCTTGTTTTTCTCAGGTTTGTCAAAGATCAGATAGTTGTAGATATGTGGCATTATTTCTGAGGGCTCTGTTCGGTTCCATTGATCTATATCTCTGTTTTGGTACCAGTACCATGCTATTTTGGTTACTGTAGCCTTGTAGTATAGTTTGAAGTCAGGTAGGGTGATGCCTCCAGCTTTGCTCTTTTGGCTTAGGATTGACTTGGCGATGCGGGCTCTTTTTTGGTTCCATATGAACTTTAAAGTAGTTTTTTCTAATTCTGTGAAGAAAGTCATTGGTAGCTTGATGGGGATGGCATTGAATCTATAAATTACCTTGGGCGGTATGGCCATTTTCACGATATTGATTCTTCCTACCCATGAGCATGGAATGTTCTTCCATTTGTTTGTATCCTCTTTTATTTCATTGAGCAGTGGTTTGTAGTTCTCCTTGAAGAGGTCCTTCACATCCCTTGTAAGTTGGATTCCTAGGTATTTTATTCTCTTTGAAGCAATTGTGAATGGGAGTTCACTCATGATTTGGCTCTCTGTTTGTCTGTTATTGGTGTATAATAACGCTTGTGATTTTTGTACATTGATTTTGTATCCTGAGACTTTGCCGAAGTTGGATTAAGAAAATGTGGCACATATACACCATGGAATACTATGCGGCCATAAAAAATGATGAGTTCATGTCCTTTGTAGGGACATGGATGAAATTGGAAATCATCATTCTCAGTAAACTATCGCAAGAACAAAAAAACAAACACCGCATATTCTCACTCATAGGTGGGAATTGAACAATGAGAACATCATGGACACAGGAAGGGGAACATCACACTCTGGGGACTGTTGTGGGGTGGGGGGAGGGGGGAGGGATAGCTTTAAGAGATATACCTAATGCTAAATGACGAGTTAATGGGTGCGGCACAACAGCATGGCACATGTATACATATGTAACTAAGCTGCACATTGTGCACATGTACCCTAAAACTTAAAGTATAATAATAATAAAATAAAAAAAAAGAAATAATAAATGACTCATTACTAAGCAATTAGTATATTTAATTCTTCTGACATCGTTTAATTTTGTACTACAACATAGAATGTTCTTTACCTTTCTTTCCACCTTTAAAAATTATACTCAACCATTGTGAAGCTTTTCCTGATTTTACCAATTATTATAATTTATTTGTTTGTTTATGCCTGTCTTATGGTTTTTATAGTGTTTAAATGTTTGGCCTTACATCATAGTTATTTATGTGCAACCATCTTCCCTATCAGGGTCTACATTTTTTTAGGATAAAGGTTATGGTGTGTTTATTAGTGTATGTCTTGCAAATCTTAAGCATTCATTTAACATAGGTGTTTCATCCTGTATTCTGAAGGTTTAACACAATCTTTTTCATTTTAAACTGATATATAACGTGAGACAGAATAGCGGTAGGCACAGATTACCAAGTACAGTGTACAAACGTCAACAGAAGACAAAGATATGCCTAGAACTATCTATTTACATTAACATTTGTGAATACAAAAGAAAAAGATGAGGAAAAATCATAAAAATTCTCAACCAATTCACTGCTCTAAATAACCAACAGACTTTGGCAATTAACTAACAAACTTTACATGGACAAGCCCAGGGATACTTCTTAACTGGCCAAGAATTGCTACCCTCAACAAGTAATATTAAATAATCCAAAATAACAACACCGTTAGATGAACCCAAATGTTAAGGGTAGGTAATTAAACCTTTTAAAAAGCCAGTTAAATAAAAATTCAATGTATATCTTCTACTCTCAGGTAAAAAATTAACAAGTACCTAGAAAGACGGAGACACCTAGCATCCTTTTTTTGAGGTACTCAAGGCACATATGTGAAAAAGTATAATTTTGATTTTATACAAGGAACAATTGATGAACTCATTGCAGCACTCCTAACTGTGCTTACCATCCTTTTCTTACTGTCTTGGTATTGAAAACAGTGACATATTTTGGTAAAGACTTCTGTACTTTTCATTTTTATTTCTTATACACCATTCTCTCAAAGCTCTTTTGTTAAGCATAGTGAATCTACAGTAAGCCTCTGTTCACTTTTTCTTACAGAAAAAAATCATGAATGTGTCAAACTCTGATATTCAGAGCAATTATGATGCTTTAGGAATGAGATACGGTGTCAATGTCACTCCTGAGAAAATATGTAAAATTTTATACCAGTAGTCTTTGTTAGATCTGTATCTACTTCTACTGTAGGGCATGATTTTGTCAGAGATTAACAACTTTTCACTTTTGACACTGTATTAGTCATGGTTCTCTAGAGGGACAGGACTAATAGGATAGATATACATAGGAAAGGGAGTTTATTAAGGAGTATTGACTATCACAAGGTGAAGTCCAACAACAGGCCATCTGCAAGCTGAGGAGGAAGGAAGCCAGTCTGGTTTCCAAAACCTCAAAAGTGGGAAAGCCAACAGTGGAGCCTTCAGTCTGTGGTCGATGGCATGGGAGCCCCTGGCAAACCACAGTAAGTCTAAGAGTCCAAAAGCTGAAGAACTTGGAGTCTGATGTTCCAGGGCAGGAAGCACTCAGCACAGGAGAGAGATGAAGGCCAGAAGACTCAACGAGTTTCCCCATTCCACTTTCTTCTGCCTACATTATTCTAGCCACTCTGGCAGCTGATTAGATGGTGCCCACCCAGATTAAGAGTGGGTCTGCCTCTCCCAGTCCACTGACTCAAATGTTAATCTCCTTTGGCAACACTCTCACAGACACACCCAGGAACAATACTTTGCATCCTTCAATCCAATCAACTTAGCACTCAATATTAACCATTCCAAGTCAACTTGAACCCCTTGTCAACTTGTACCCATACACAGCTCCTGAAATCATATATAATCTTCAAATAAAGACAATAGTAAGGTCATCATTACACCTAACATAATACAGCTATCTTTCGTACAATCGGAAGCACACTAATCCTTAACCTAAATGCTATTACATAAAGTTAACAACACTTAAATGTTGATATGAAATCAATAAATCTTATGTCACATGATAAAGGAAAAATAAAGGAAATAAAATAAAGATATTATCTTAGTACAAATGTATACATCCCCAAACATGTTCTTAACAAAATAAAGAGAAAATGCTTATGACAATTATAGTCCTCGTTTCTGCAGCTGGTCATGTGGTTGCAGCTGGTATTGATGACTACCTTCTTCTACCACCCATTCTGTATTCCCTTTGCCTTCAGCAAGCACCTCAGCAGGTCATGATTTTTTACCTGATGGAGTGACCTAACCCTTCATTTCAGAAGGGTCTGGGCCATTTGTAGACCTGCCTGGATTGGGTTGTTATAGTTTCCCATTGACCTTAATCACAGGGCATGGTAATATTAAGAGATGTCCTAAGGGATCTCCTGTATTCCACGCATACTCTTCCTTACTTCCATTGCGGAGTAGTAGACTTGGTAGTCCGGGTCAATCACTCCAGCCAACACTGTAACTCCCTTCTTAGCTTGTTGGTGAGAGGTAGGAGGAGCCCAAAGTGGTCAGATGGCATTCTTAACTTGCAGTTTAATGGAATCGTTGTGTCTCCTGGTGGCAGCGGTCCTTCTTCTGGAACTAAGACATTTAGGCCAGCAGAATGTAATATCCTGGGAGCACAAAGCAAACATTTTGTTAGTGGGTCACTAAGGGTGATGGTGAGTGGTGCCACTTCCACTTCCACCCTTTGATTCCTGGACCCGTGAATCCTGGCTATGGGAGAAACAATGCCACATATTTGACACTGATCCAGAGCATACACGGCCTTCTGGAGAACTTTGTCCCAGCCCTGCAAAGTACTGTCACCTAGTTGGCATTATAATTGTGACTTCAAAAGAACATTCCACCGTTCTATCAATCCAGCTGGTTCAGGATAATGGGGAACATGGTAAGACCAATGAATTCCATGAGCATGAGCCCACTGCTGCACTTCTTTATCAATAAAGTGAGTGTCTTGGTCAGAGGCAATACTATCTGGAACACCATGACAGTGGATAAGGTGACTCCTTGGATGGTAGTCTTGGCAGAAGCATTGTGTGCAGGATAGGCAAACCCATATCTGGACTGAATGTCTATTCTAGTGAGGACAAACTGCTGCCCTTTCCATGATGGAAGAGGTCCAATATAATCAACCTGCCACCAAGTAGCTGGCTGATCACCCCAAGAAATGGTTCTCATTGTTGGTCTCTGCTGCTGGCAAATTGGGCACTCAGCAGTGGCCGTAGCCAAGTCAGCCTCAGTGAGTGGAAGTCTATGTTGTTGATTTCATGTATAACCTCCATCCCTGCCACCATAATCACTTTGCTCATGGCCCCATTGGGCAATAACAGGGGTGGCTGAGGAAACACTCTGAGCAGTGTCCACAGATCAAGTCATCCTATTCACTTGATTATTAAAATCCTCCTCTGCTGAGGTCATCTTTGGTGATCACTCACATGAGATACAAATATCTTAACAGTTTTTGCCCACTTGGAGAGGTTCATTCACAGACCTCTTCTCCAAATTTCTTTGTCACAAGTTTTCCAATCATGCTTCTTCCAAGTCCCTGACCATCCAGCCAAAACATTGGCTACAAGCCCATGAATCATTATATAATCACACATGTGGCCATTTCTCCATCCATGCAAAGTGCACAACCAGGTACACTGCTCGAAATTCTGCCCACTGGGAAGATATCCCTTTGTCACTGCCCTTCAGGGGTGTCCTAGAAAGAGACTGTAGTTCTGCAGCTGTCCACTTTCGGGTGGTGCCTGCATATCGTGCAGAACCATTTGTAAACCAGGCCCTAGTCTTCTCTTCCTCTGTCAACTGATCATAGGAAATTCCCCATGAGGCCATTGGTGCAGGCTGAGGGAGAGAAAGCATGGTGGCAGGAGTGGGACATTTGAGCCACTTCCTCATGTAACTTACTTGCACCCTCAGGACCTGCTCAAGCCCAATCACATATATACCACTTCCATTTGATGATGGAATGCTGCTGTTCATGACCCGCTGTATGACTAGATGAGTAATGAAAGCACCCAGTTCCTGATAGGCAGTTCAGGTCACATAGTGATTTGATGACCCATAGTCAAACATTCAGTTTCTACCAAAGCCCAGTAACAGGCCAAGAGCTGTTTCTCAAATGGAGAGTAGTTATCTGCAGAAGATGGCAAGGCCTTGCTCCAAAATCCTACAGGCCTCCACTGTGATTCACCCATGGGGGCCTGCCAAATTCCTCAAACAACACTCTTATCCGCCACTGACACCTCAAGCAATATTGGCTCTGTAGGGTCATATGTCCCAAGTGGCAGAGCAGCTTGCACAGCAACCTGGACCTTTTGCAGAGCCTTCTCCTGTTCTGGACTCCACTCAAAACTGGAAACCTTTTGGGTCACTCGATAAATGGGCTGGAGTAACACACCCAAATGAGGAATATGTTGCCTCCAAAATGCAAATAGGCCCACTAGGAGTTAGGTCTCTCTTGTTATAGGAGGGGCCAAATGCAGCAACTTATCCTTCACCTTAGAAGGAATATCTATCTATCTTGACAAGCCCCACACCAATGGACCCCTAGAAATTTTGCTGAGGTAGAAGTTCCCTGAATTTTTCTCAGATTTATTTCCCATCCCCTGGCACACTAGTGTCTCACCAATAAGTCCAGTGTGTTTGCTACTTCTTGATCACTGGATCCAATCTACATAATGTCATCAATGTAATGGACCAGTGTGATAGCTTGTGGAAGGGAAAAGCAATCACTATCTCTGTGAACAAGATTATGGCACAAAGCCAGAGAGTTGATATACCCTTGAGATAGGACAGTGAAGGTATATTATTGGCCTTGCCAGCGGAAGACAAATTGCTTCTGGTGGGCCTTATGGACAGGAATGGAGAAAAAGGCAGTTTCCAAATAAATGGCTGCATACCAGTTACCAGGAGATGTGTTAATTTGTTCAAGCAATGAAACCACATCTGGTACAGCAGCTGCAATTGGAATCACCACTTGGTTAAGCTTATAATAATCCACTGTCATTCTCCAAGATCCATCTGTCTTCTGCACAGGCCAAATAGGAGAATTGAATGGGGATGTGGTGGGAATCACTACCCCTGTGTCTTTCAAGTCCTTGATGGTTGCGTTAATCTCTGCAACCCTTCCAGGGATAGGATAGTTTTTTTATGATTTTTCTAGGGAGAGGCAGGTCTATTGGCTTCCACTGTGCCCTTTCCATCAGAATAGCCCTCACCCTACCAGTCAGGAATTCAATGCCGGGATTCTGCCAGCTGCTAAGTATGTCGATGCCATTTATGCATTCTGACACTGGGGAAATGATGACAGGATGAGGCAGGGGCCCACTGGACCCACTGTAAGTTGGACTTGAGCTAAACCTCCATTAATTACCTGACCCCTATAAGCCCCTACTTTAATTGGAGGACCACAATGACATTTTGCATTCCATGAAATCAATGTCAGCTCAGAGACAGTGTCCAGTGGTCCCAAAAGGTCTGATTATTCCCCTTTCCCCAGTGCACAGTTACTCTGGTAAAAGGCCAGAGGTTTCCTTGGGGAAGGATGGGGGAAAGACTAACAACATAAATTGTCAGTAGTGTAATGGGGTCCTTCCTCAAGCGGAGCCAGCCTCCTCTTTATTCAAGGGGTTCTGGGTCTGTGAACTGGTTCAAGTCTGGAAATTGATTGAGGAGCCATGATTCTCTATTTTTATAATTCAAATTCGTCCTTCATCCACTCGAACTGGAAGTTTTCTGCTTAAATAAATTAAGTAATAATGCAGTAGGCTTCCTATCAACTTCACTTCTAGGAACACCGTGATTAATTAGCCAATGCCTGAGCTCTGCATGAGTCAGACTATTCTGATTGCTGCTTTGCCTCTGCTGTCCATTACAGTAACTATGCCCACCTTGCCTTTGATGGATGAGTGCCACCACTTGGCTCCTGCTGCCTCTGGGTCCAATTATTCCCATTGCATTTAAAGTTTCTAATTGAGTGATTGTGGTTCCCACTGTAAGATCTGGCACACAGAGAAGAGCAATCACATTGCTCTTCAAAAATGCAGATGCAGATGGGCGTTGTGGCTCACACCTCTAATCCCAGAACTTTGGGATGCCAAGGCAGGTGGATCACGTGAGGTCAGGAGTTCGAGACCAGCCTGGCCAACATGGAGGAACCCCGCTTCTACTAGCAATACAACAATTAGCTGGGCATGGTGGCAGGTGCCTATAATCCCAGCTACTCAGGAGGCTGAGGCAGGAGAACTGCTTGAACCCCGGGGGGATGGAGGTTGCAGTGAGCCGAGATCATGTCATTTCACTCCAGCCTGGGAGACAAAGCGAGACTCTGTCTCAAAAAAAAAAAAAGCAGATGTTTCCCTCACAAATCTATACTGGCGGAGGGTATGACTTCTGGACCTTCCCAGGTGGAAGTGACATTGGAAGCTAGCATTCTAATCTCCCTTAGCCTTTGGATCCCTTCCTCTACATTAAACCAAGGGAAATCAGGCATTTCCAGCTTGCTCACAGTAGGCCACCTTTTGCTCCATATTTCAGCTAACCAAGCAAATAAACTATTAGAGCCTTTTCTTAACTCCCAAGCTGCAACATTAAATGCAAGATCCCTGGTTAGTGGGCCCATATCAATAAATTCGGCCTGATCCAACTTTATGTTCCTTCCACCATTATCCCACACCCTTAATATCCATTCCATGCCTGTTCTCTAGATTTCTGCTTATATAAATTGGAAAACTCAGTTTTTTTGGAGTGTAGTGTACCTCCTCATGGGTCACACTCTGAACCTCACCTGTAGGGTCCTGCTGGGACTTGAGTCTTGTTATAGGTCTAGAAGCAAACGAGGTATTGAGGGTGAGTCCCGAGGAGAATCAGCATTGTCTTGCCTGGCCACTGACTCAGGGGAGGCCACCACTGTTGCCTCAGGCAGTGAATGGCTAACCTCCTCAGACAAAGGTGGAAAGGCTGATGGCAGCATGGGTGGGGGAGGGGAAGCTGCCACCTCTGGAAGTGGGGTGGCTATTTCCTCTGGCAAAAAGGGCTCATCAGAATTTAGGAGCTCAATGCCCCCAGTCTCATCAGGGTCCTTCCACATGTCCCCATTCCAAGTTGCAGGGTCCCATTCTTTTCCAATCAATGCCCTTACTTTAACAGTAGACAACGGGCAAGGCTGTGCATACACATTTCCTTGCAGGTCAGCCACTTGCATCATAGGAGTTTGTGTCTGATTTTTCACAATTTCAGCTCTATCTCTGAAGGAGACAAGACTCTCACTCATGGCAATCTTAAAAGATTTAAGGTTCAGTATGTGCTTGTGGAGCCAGGAGATAGAATTACTGAGTTCATTATTTTCTTTCATCACATTGTTCAGTGAACTTAGGAGCACCCAACCAATGTCATTATCATTTTTGGTTCTCCACATATGGTCAAAGGTATTATGTATAGAGTCACTAAACTCCTTGCCTCTTATGAGCGATGAATGAAGAGTATGAAATGTATTTATTTTCCATAACTCTCTAAACAGTTCATGCCATGTACTGTCAGTGTTCTTCACACCATTAGAAGTATAGTCCTTAGCATTTTGGGGTCTAATCATATTAAGCAGCCAACTCCAGAAATCCCAAAACCAACTAAAGGACTCCGTCCTTAAAATTATATTCTTTTAGGACCACTTCTGGTACCAAAATTTATATTTGTCAGGGTTCTCTACAAGGACAGAACTAAGAGGATAGATGTATATATGAAAGGAAGTTTATTAAGGAGTATTGACTCACAAAATCACAAGGTGAAGTCCCACAATAGTTCACCTGCAAGCTGAGGAGCAAAAAAGCCAGACCAAGTTCTAAAGCCTCAAAAGTAGGAAAGCCAACGGTGCAGCCTTCAGTCTGTGGCTGAAGACATGAGAGCCTTTGGAAAACCACCAGTGTAAGTCCAAGGGTCCAAAAGCTGAAGAACTTGGAGTCTGATGTTTGAGGGCAGGAAGCGTCCAGCATGGGAGAAATATCAAGGCCAGAAGATTCAGCAAGTCTAGTCCTTCCACATTCTTCTGCCTACTTTATTCTAACCATGCTGAAAGCTGATGAGATTGTGCCCACCCAGATTGAAAGTGGGTCTACCTCTTCCAGTCCACTGACTCAAATGTTAATCTCTTTTGGCAACACCATCACCGACACACCCAGGAACAATACTTTGCATCCTTCAATCCTGTCAAGTTGACACTCAATATTAACCATCACAAACACTTTACTCAAATACTGAGCAAAGCACAAAAAGAGGTACATTCACAATAAAGTAAGGCAACTTAATAATGCAAAAAATTGAACAGCAATGCTACTGTATATTTTATATTACAGGTAGTCATCTGCAAAAGTAAAGTGATAAGATATTATTAAGGAGAATGATGTAAAGAATAGATTAAAAATATCTGTACGTATAGTGCTTTGGATGAATCTAAAAGTATAAAAATAATATATTCTTTGTCGCTTACTTAAGTTATAAAGTTGAATCTAAAGTATTGGTCATAGAGATGTGGTGCAAGATGACAGTTAAGAAAATTCCACCAATGATCCCCATCTACACCCCGCAAGGACACCAAATTAAAAACTATCTTCACAGAAAAGTAAAGCATCTTATTAAAAAAATTAGATGAGCACTTATATTACCAGGTTTTAACTTCCTATTTGTGAAAGAGACATTGAAGAGATAGAAAAAAAAAATAGTCTTGAATCATGGAGGCTACCCCTTCTCCACCCCAGAAGCAGCTGCATGGTACAGAGAGCTTCTCTGGGTGCTGGGGGAGGAAGAACACAGTAATTGTGAAGCATTAAACTCATTACTGTTCTGTTAGAGCAGAAAGGAAAATCAGACCAAACTCAGCTGATGGCTACCCACAAAAGAAGCATTTAATCCAATCCTACAGAAGGGAATTGCCCATCCCAGTAATCAAAACTTGAGTGTCTGCAAACGTTGCCATTGACAAAGGCCAAAGTGTTCTCAGTCTCTACGTAAATTTGAAAAGTAGTCTAGGCCATAAGGACTACAAATTTTAGGCAAGCCCTAGGGCTGTGCTAGGCCTAGAGAAAGTGGAGTAGGGGGGTGGGGCATGGGACATACTGAGACACCAGCTGGGAAAGCCAAGGGTGTGCTGGCATCAGCCTTTCCCAACCCCGGGCAGCACAAATTAAGGCTCCAAAAGAGATCCCTTCCTTCTGCCCTAAAAGAGACTCCTTCATTCTGCATGAAGAGAGAAAAGAGTGGGGAGGACTTTGTCTTGCATCTTGGATACTGGGTCAGTCACAGCAGGATAGGGCACCAGTCAGAGTCAAGAGGCCCCCGTTCTGGGCCTTAGCTCCCAGATGAAATTTCTAGACACACCCTGGGCCAGGAGGGAACATGCTGCCTTGAAGGAAAGGACCCAGGCCTGCCAGCATTTGTCACCTGCTAACTGAGGAGCCCTTGGGCCCTGAATAACCAACAGCAACACCCAGGTACTACATTGAGGGCCTTCGTGAGCCTCTGAGACTTGCTGGCTTCAAGACGAGACTCAGCACATTACCAACTAAACTTGCTACACAGTGAAACTCTTTCTTCTTATGAGAAGCAGAAAAAAAAGCAAAGGGGACTTTGTCTTGCACCTTAGGTACCAACACTATCATAGGAAGATACAGCACCAAACAGGCTTTTGGAATTTGCAATTCTAGGACTTGACTCTTTGATGACATTTCTGGACCTGCTCTCAGCCAGAGGGGAGACCACTGTCCTGAAAGGTGAGTCCCCAAGGCAGGCAGCATTCATGACAAGCTGACTTAAGAGACTTTGGCACTTAAGGAAACAACAGTAGTAGTCTGAGAGGACTTCTCAATGACTTGGGTGGCAGTGGTTATGGGATGAGGCTCCCATGCCTTTGGAAAGCAGAGGGAAAAGTGGGAAGGACTGCATCTTGTGGTTTGAGTGCCAGATGAGCTGTAGTGCAATATAATACCAGGTAGATTTTAATGTTTTTGATTCAAATTTCTGAGTCCTGGACAGAACTTTTGGACCTGCCCAGGGACTGGACATTGCTACTTTAAAGGGAAGGAAACAGGGCTAGCTGGCTTTGCCACCTGCTAATTGTAGAGCGTCAGGGCTTTGAATAAACATATTCATCAGAAAGTGAGTGGTTACAGCAGGCCTTGGGTGAAGCCGAGTGCTGTGTTGGCTTCAGGTATGAACCAGTGCAGTCATGGTGGTGGTGTCCACTGCAGTGCTTGTGTCACTCCACTCTTAGCTTTAGGTGGCTAAGAACAGAGAGAAGACTCTGCATGTTTAAAAGACAGTAAGAAAATAGAACAAGAGTCTCTGCCTGGTAATCCAGAGAATTCTCCCAGACCTGTCCAAGATCATCAAGGTGGTATTGTTCCGAGTCTGCAAGGACCACAGCATTACTGGAATTCAGGTGCACCCTAAAGCAGAAACAGATTATATCAAAATACTAAAGTCCTTTCAAATATCTGGAAAGCATCCCAAGGACAGCTACAAATGAGTTGAAATAGTAAAGACTACAACAAATATCTAACTCTAGAATGTCTAGACACCAAAGAAAATCTACTAGCATGAACACCATCCAGGAAAACATGAGTTCACCAAATGAACTAAGAAAGGCACCAGGGAAAATCCTGGAGAAACAGAGATATATGACCTTTCATACCTTGAATTCAAAATAGCTGTGTTGAGGAAAATAAATATATTCCAGAGAAATAATTAGAAATTTTATTGTATAAATTTACCAAAGATATTAAAATGATTAAAAAGAATCAAGCAGAAATTCTGGAGGTTAAGAATGCAATTGGAATACTGAAGAATGCATAACAGTCGTTTAATAGCAGAATTGATCAATCAGAAAAAATAATTAGTGAGCTTGAAGACAGGCTATTCGAAAATACACATTCAGAAAAGACAAAAAAGAATAAAAAACAAGGAAGCATGCCTACAGGAACTAGAAAATAGCCTCAAAGGGGCACACCTAAGAGTTATTGGCATCACAGAGGAAGTAGAGAAAGAGGTAGGATAAAAAGTTTGTTCAAAAGGATGATAACAGAAAACTTCCCAAACCTAGTGAAAGATATCAATATCAAGTAAAAGAAGGCTAGAGAATACCAAGCAGATTTGATATAAATAACACTACCTCACAGCAGTTAACAACTAAAGTCCCAAAGAGCAAGGATGAGAAAAAGATACTAAAAGCAGCAAGAGAAAAGAAAAAAAAAAAACATACAATGAAGTTCCAATATGTCT
The DNA here is from genome assembly GCF_000001405.40 of Homo sapiens. Lineage (NCBI taxonomy): Eukaryota > Metazoa > Chordata > Mammalia > Primates > Hominidae > Homo > Homo sapiens. Next base: position 87,359,099 of record NC_000023.11, read on the forward strand.
GATAATAGACGTTTCAATGGAAATCTAAAAGGCCATGAGAAAGAGGCACAACGTATTTAAAGTGCTAAAGGAAAGACAAAAACACATACTTTTACTGAGAATAGTATATTCAGCAAAAATATTATTCATACATAAAGGAAAAATAAAGACCTTCCCAGACAAAGAAATGCTGAGAGATTTCATCAGTACCAGACCTGTCCTACAAGAAATGCTAAAAGAAGTACTTCAATCAGAAAAAAAAATACATTAATGAGCAATAAACAATCACCTGAAGGTACAAAATTTGCTGGTAATAGTAAGTACACAAAAAACCCACAGAATATTATAACACTGTAACTGTGGTGTGTAAAGTACTCATACCCTAAGTAGAAAGATTAAATGTTGAACCAATCAAAATAATAACTACAATGTCTTTTCAAAACATAATATAATAAGATATAAATAGAAACAATAAAAAGTTGAAAAGAAGAAGGATGAAGTTAAGGCAAGTTTTTACTAGTTTTTGCTTGTTCGTTTGTTTATTCAAATAGTGTTAAGTTGTTATCAGGTTAAAATAATAGGTTGTAAGATAGTATTTGCAAGCCTCATGGTAACCTCAAACGACAACAAAAATATCATACAATGGACACACAAAAAAAAACAAAAGCAAGAAACTAAATCACATTACCAGAGAAAATCATCTTCACTAGAGCAAGCTATGAATGAAAAAATGAAGGAAGGGAAGACAACAAACTAACCAGAAAACAAATAGCAAGATGGCAGGAATAAGTTATTACTTATCAATAATAACATTGAATGTAAATGGACTAAACTCTCCAATCAAAAGACATAGACTAGGCTGAATGGATGAAAAAACAGGACCCGTTGTTCTGCTGCCTACAAGGAACACATTCCACCTATTAACACACAGAAAGACTGAAAATAAATGGATGTAAAAAGTTATTCCATGCCAATCGAACTCAAGAAGGAGCAAGAGTCACTACACTTTTATCACACAAAATGAATTTCTAGATGAAACTATTAGAAGAGACAAAGAATCTCACTTTGAAATAATAAAAAGGTCAAATCAACAAGAAGATATAACAATTTTAAATATATATGCATCCAACACTGGAGCACCAAAATATATAAAGAAAATATTATTAGAGCTAAAGAGAGAGACAGGCCCCAATAAAATTATCTGGAGACTTCAACATCTCACTTTTAGCACTGGAAAGATCTTTCAGACAGAAAATCAACAAAGAAACATCAGACTTTATCAGCACTATAGGCCAAATGATCTAATAGATATTTACAGAACATTCATCTAAGAGCTGCAGAATGCAAATTTTTTTCCCCTCACACATGGATCATTCTCAAGGATAGACCATGTGTTAGGTCACAAAACAAGTCTTACAACATTCAAAAAAATCGAAATAATATCAAACATCTTCTCTGACCAAAATGGAAAATTTTAGAAATTGATAACAAGAGGAATATTGGCAATTATACAAATACAGGGAAATTAAGCAAGATTCTTCTGAATTACCATTGGGTTATTAAAGAAATTTTAAAAGGAAATTAAAAATTTCTTGAAACAAATGACAATGAAAACACAACATCCTCAAACTTATGAGATATAGCAAAAGCAACTCTCAGAAAGCCTACATCAAAAAAGAGAAAAACTGCAATAAACATTCTAATAATACATCTTAAAGAACTAGAAAAGCAAGAACAAACCAAACTCAAAATTATTAGAAGAGAAGAAATAATAAAGATCAGAACAAAAATAAATGAAATTGACCTGAATAAAACAATTCATCAATTAAGTAAAAAGTTGGTTTTTTGAAAGTTTAAACAAATTCACAAAGCTTTGCCCAGACTAAGAAAACAAAAGAGAAGACTCAAATAAATAAAATCAGAGATGAAAAAAGAGGCATAACTACTAATACAGCAGAAATTCAAAGGATCATTCATGGCTACTATAAGCAACTCCATGTTAATAAATTGGAAAACCTAGAAGAAATGGTCAAATTTCTAGATACATACAACCTATTAAGATTTAACCAGGAAGAAATCCAAAACCAGAGCACACCAATAACAAGTAACAACATCAAAGCCATAGTAAAATGTCTCCCAGTAAAGATAAGCCTGGGACCTGATGGTGTCACTTCTGAATTCCACCAAACATTTGAAGAGAGGTAATACCATTCCCTCTCAAGCTATTCTGAAAAATAGAAGGGGAGGGAACACTTCCAAACTCATTCTATGAGGCCAGTATTACCATGATACCAAAAGCAGGCAAAGACACTCAAGAAAAGAAAACTACAGGCCAAAATATCTGATGAAGTTTTTCCTCTTTTTTGATGTAGGCAATTATACCTATAACCTTATAACTGAGTACTGCTTTTGCTGTATCTCTTTGATGTAAAAATCCTCAACAAAATGCCAGCAAACCAATTCAACAATACATTAGAAAGATCATTCATCATGACCAAGTGGGAATCATCCCTGGGATGCAAGGATGGTTCAAAATATGCAAACAAATCAGTGTGATACCTTATACCAACAAAATGAAGAAGAAAAAACATATTACTATTTCACTTGATACTGAAAAGCTTTTGATAAAATTCTACATCTCTTCATGATAAAAACCCTCAAAAAATTGGGGATAGAGAGAACATACCTCAATATAATGAAATCCATATATGAAAGACCCTCAGCCAGTATCACAGTGATTGGGGAAAAACTGAAATCTTTCCTCTAAATTCTGGAAAATAACAAGGATGTGCACTATCACTACTGTTACTCAGCATAGTACTGGAATTACTAGCTAGAGTAATCATGCAAGAGAAAGAAATAAAGGGTATCCAAATTGGAAAGGAAGAAGTAAAATTACCCTTGTTTGCTAATGATGTGATCTTATATTTGGGAAAACCTAAAGACTCCACGAAAAAACTATTAGAACTGATAAACAAATTCCGAAAAGTTGCAGCATTTAAATCAACATGCAAAAATCAGTAGCATTTTTTTTTTTTGAGGCAGAGTCTTGCTGTGTCGTCCAGGCTGGAGTGCAGTGGCATGATCTTGACTCACTGTGACCTGCACCTCCTAGCATTTTTATATGCCTATAAATGTAAGCAATTTGAAAAAACAAATCAAAAGAGTCATCTCATCTACAATAGTCTCAAATAAAATTAAATACTTAGAAATTAACTTAAAGAGCTGAAATATCTCTATAATGAAAACCAGAAAACACTAATAAAAGAAATTGAAGAAGACACAAAGAAATGAAAAGATATGTCATGTTAATGAATCGAAAGAATCAATATTGTTAAAATGTCCATACAACCCAAATCCATCTACAGAGTCAATGCAATTCCTATCAAAAAACCAATTACATTCTTCATAGAAATAGAAAAAAAATCCTAAAATTTATAAGGAAACAGAAATGACCCAGAATAGCCAAGGCTATCCTAAGCAAAACAAACAAACAAACAAAAAAAACTGGAGGAATAATATTACCTGACTTCAAATTATACTAGAGGTCTATAGTAAGCAAAACAAAACAGCATGGTACTGGCGTGAAAACAGACACATAGTCCAATGGAACAGACTAGAGAACCCAGAAATAAATCCACACACCTACAATTAACTGATTTTTGACAATGGTTCCAAGAACATACACCAGGGAAAAGACAGTTTCTTCAATAAATAATGCTGGGAAATCTGGATATTCATATGCAAAAGAATGAAACTAGACCTCTATCTCTTGCCATACACAATAATAAAATCAAAATCGATTAAATATTTACATCCAAAAGCTCAACCATTAAACTACCATAAGAAAACACTGGGTAAGATCTCTAGGACATTGGTCTGGTCAAATATTTCTTGAGCAATATCCCACAAGGAAAGGCAACCAAAGCAAAAATGGAAAAATGAGATCACATCAAATTGAAAAGCTTCTGCACACCAAAGACTATAATCAACAAAGTGAAGTGAAAACCCACAGAATGGGAGAAAATATTTGCAAACTACCCGTCTGATAAGAGATTAATAACCAGAATTTAAAATAAGTGGAAACAATTCTATATGAAAAAATCTAAGAATCTGATTTGAAAAAGGTCAAAAGATTTGATTAGACCTTTCTCAAAAGAAGACATACAAATGGCAAACCAGCATGTGAAAAGGTGTGCAACATCATTGATCATCAGAGAAATACACATAAAAACTACAATGAGGTATCATCTCACCCCAGTTAAAATGGCTTATATCCAATTGACTGGCAATAACAAATGCTGACAAAGATGTAGAGAATAGGGAAAACTTGTACACTGTTAGTGTGAATATAAATTAGTACAATCACTATGTAAAACAGTTTGGAAGTTCCTCAAAAAAACTAAAAATTGAGCTACCATATTATCCAGCAATGCCACTGCTATTTATATACTCAAAAGAAATAAAATCAGTATGTCAAAGAGATCTGCTTTCATATGTTTGTTGCAGCACTGTTTACAATAGCTGAGATTTGGAAGCAACCTAAGTGTTCATCAACAGATAAATGGATAAAGGAAATGTGGTACTTATACACAATGGAATACCATCAGGCCATTAAAAAAAGAGGGATACCCAGTCATTTGCAACAACATGGATGGAACTGGAGATCATTATGTTAAGCAAAATAAGCCAGGCACAAAAAGACAAGTATCTCATGTTCTCAATTATATGTGGGATCTAAAAATCCAAACAATTGAACTCATGGCCATAGAGTAGAATGAGGGTTACCATAGGCTTGGAATGGTAGTAGAGTGCTGAGGGTTAGTTGGGATGTTTAATGATCCAAAAAATAGAAAGAATGAATAAGACCAACTATTTGATAGCATAACAGGGTGACTATAGCCAATAATAACCGTACATTTTGAAATAAAAAGTGTAATTGGATTATTTGCAACTCAGTGGATAAATGCTTGAGAAGATGAATAACCAATTCTTCATGATGCCCTTATTTCACATAGCATGCCAGTATCAAAACATCTCCTCTACCCCATAAATATATACACCTCCTATATAACTACACATGTTAAAAATTAAAAAAATTTTAAAATATTGGTTAAGATACCACATAATCAAGCTGAAACACATGCTATGGTGACAAATATTATTTTTGTCCTATAATTTGAGCACGATTGATGTGAAAGAACAAAAAAGAGATCACAGTCTCTATTTTTCCTTTGCCTAAGTTCAATTTTATTCTCTTAGATTGTTAACAAGGAAAATAAAAAGTATTCCTTCGGTGTTGGGAATGGGCCCCCAAAATCTGGCAATAAACTGGCCCCAAAACTGGCCATAAACAAAATCTCTGCAGCACTGTGACATGTTCGTGATGGCCATGACGCCCATGCTGGAAGGTTGTGGGTTTACTGGAGTGAGGGCAAGGAACACCTGGCCCACCTAGGGCAGAAAACCGCTTAAGGGCGTTCTTAAACCACAAACAATAGCATGAGCGATCTGTGCCTTAAGGACATGCTCCTGCCACAGATAACTAGCCAGACCCATCCCTTTATTTTGTCCCATCCCTTTGTTTCCGGTAGGGAATACTTTTAGTTAATCTATAATCTATAGAAACAATGCTTATCACTGGCTTGCTGTCAATAAATATGTGGGTAAATCTCTGTTCAAGGCTCTCAGCTCTGAAGGCTGTGAGACCCCTGATTTCCGAATCCACACCTCTATATTTCTGTGTGTGTGTCCTTAATTCCTCCAGCGCTACTGGGTTAGGGTCTCTCCAACTGAGTTCTTCTCGGCACTTCAGTCATTGCAGTAGTGAAGGTTAGTTTTTTTGATTATTGATGTATTTCAGCATATACCCCAGAAAACACAACTAAAATCCAGTAGTTCATTAAATAATATTTAATATCAGCAGCTGATTATAACAAAGTTGGAGAGTTGAAACTAAGAGACGGTCAGGTGACCTAACAGATAACAATTGCTGAAAGCCTCCATTCTTAGAGCTAGAATTACAAATCAGAGATAGAAATACTAGAGCTCAGGGTATACCCAGGGTCTAAGACTGCCAGAAGAGGAACCATTTTTGCAGATATTTGTAAGCTGATCTTAACTAAAGTTCATATGAAAATGCAAGAGGCCCAGAAAGACCAAAACAGCCTTGAGAAATAAAAGAGCTGGAGGGCTCAAATGTCCCAATCTCAAAACTCACTGTAAATCTACAATAACCAAGGTATTGTGATAATAGCATAGAAAAGACTTACAGATCCATAGAATAGAATTTAGAATCCAAAAATAAGCCCTTACATTTATGGTCAGTTAGTTTTCAAAAAGATTGCCAAGGGAATTCAGTGAAAAAAAAAAAAACAGTCTCTTCAAGAAATGGTGCTCCAACAACTGGATATACACACAGTCGAAAAAAATGCCACTGGATCCTTACATGATACTATATAAAAATTATCTCAAAATGAATCAAATATCACAATTTAAGAGCTAAAACTATATAACTCTTATAAGAAAACAGGGATAAATCATCATGATGCTAGATTTGGCAATTATTTCTCAGATATTACACAAGAAACACAAGCAACAGAAGAATAAACAAATACATTGAACTTCAAAAAATTCAAAATGTTTGTGCATTAAAAGTATGCTATTTAGAAATGAAAAAGTCAATTCAAATACTAGAAGAAAATGTTTCCAAATCATGTATCTGATGAGGGTCTAGCATCCAAAATAAAAAAAAACTATTGCAACTCAACAATAAACAAACAAATAACCCAACTAAAAAAATGGTTAAAGGATCTGAATAGACATTTTCCCAATGAAGATATAGAAAAGACCAGTAAGGACATGAAAAGACATTTAACATCATTTCCATCAGGGAAATGCAAATCAAATCCACAAGGAAATACCACTTCACACTCATTAGAATGACCATGATAAAAAAGACAAATAATAAAATTTGGTGAGGGATTAGGAGAAACTCGAGTCCTCTTTCATTACTGGTGACATTGTAAAATAATTCAGCTCCTTTGGAAAACAAATTGGCAGGTCCTCAAAATGTTCAATATAGAGTCTTCATGTGGTCTGTCATTCTACTTTTAATTATGTACCCATGAGAAATGAAAATACATGTTCATAGAAAAATGTATGCAATAATGCTCATGGGAGCATTATCCATATTAGCTTAAAGGGGGAAACAACTCAAATGTTTGTCAGCGGATTAGTAGGTAAATAAATGTGCAAAATAGACAATGAAATATTACTCGGACATAAAAAAGTAATGAAATACTGATTCAAACTAAAACATAGATGAAACGTGTTAAATGAAACATTAATTTAAATGAAAGAAGTCTGGCAAAAAAGGCCACACGTGTATGATTCCATTTATATACAATGCCTATAAATAAGTAAATTCATGGAGACATAGCTTAGTAATTGCTAGAGGCTGGGAGAGAGTCAAAGGACAATGACTGCTAACTGGTATGAGGTTTATTTGTGGAATGATGAAAATGTTCTGGAATTAGTGATGATGGTTGCATAACTCTGTGAGTGTACTAAAAAGCACAGAAGTATACACTTTAAATGAATGAATTTTATGGTATCTGAATTATATCTCAATAAAGCTATTTTAAAAAACATAAAGTGACAGTTATCTTTATTCTGTCACTCCCAGAATTAGTTACCCTTAACATTTAACATTTATGCTTCCAGTCTTTTGTTGCTTTGTAAGTACTTTTTAAAAATCCATACCATAGACCAGGCGTGGTGGCTCACGCCTGCAATTCCAGCACCTTGGGAGGCCGAGGCGGGTGGATCACGAGGTCAAGAGATCGAGACCATCCTGGCCAAGATGGTGAAACCCGTCTCTACTAAAAATACAAAAATTAACCAGGCGTGGTGGTGTGCACCTGTAAATCCCAGCTACTCAGGAGGCTGAGGCAGGAGAATCTCTTGAACCTGGGAGAAAGAGATTGCAGTGAGCCAAGATCATGCCACTGTACTCCAGCCTGGTGACAGAGTGAGACTCCAGCTCAAAAAAAAAAAAAAAATTCATACATATAACAAAAGAACATATTGTCTTCTTAATGTTATGACATTGTAGATAAAGTTTAAGTTTCCCTTCTCGAGTATCCCTACTCATCAACTCCTGTCATAAGTGCAAGTGTTCTAAGGTGTTTTGTATGTGTTTTGGACTTTTTGGGGGGTTTGGGTTTGTTTTTACTTTGTTACCATGAACGTGAACACCATTCTTAACAACGAAATAGCTTTCATTGCTTAAGTCTTAGTGGAAGTCTAGGAAATACTGTCAATTATAGATTTGAAGTGCCAAATCTACCTTTTCTCTAATTTCTATCAGCCAAAGTGGCCAGAGTGCAGAATCTTGAATTAGACTCAACCAATAAGGTATTCCTGCTAAGGATTATAAAATTTAAGGAGTGATTCAAATACAAGGACCAGTTTAGAAATTATGCAGGTAATAAAGGGTTTTATGACAGCAGTGTTGGTAATATTATCATATCCGATCTCTTTTTGTAAAATAACCTTGTCCATTTCCTACTGCCTCTCTTTCTTTAATAGCTGCTCCCTGTTTTCAAGCCAGTTTCTCTAGTTTCTTAGCAATTTTTGAGCTAAGCAACTTTACAATTTTTTTTTATCTTCAGTTTAATCAGAGTATATTTTGTTCCTTGGAAACAAGAATTCTAACTAAAGAAGTATGCCTTTTTAAAAGTATAGGATTATATGCATATATAAATCCATAAAATATATAACATCCTTTTGTGTTTTCAAATGTATGTGAGAAAATATAGTGATACATCAATGTTACTGCAATGTTGTTCATTTAATATAATGTTTTTCAAAGGTATTTATGTTGATGATATATATACATGAAGTTCATTCTTTCTCCCAAATTAGTTGCCCTATGATTTGAGTCACTATATCAATAGGCTTCCTTAGAGCAAACTTCAGGGTTCCAAGCAGCCCCCTGGGGGCCACAAGTATGGCAATGATGCCAGGTGGGTATCTCCAACCTGTCTTAACTGGAGTATCTGCTTTTATTTTTTACTTGCTTATATATCTAGTTTCACTGCTAAAAATAATTAGGATTTTTTTACCCAAATTCATGGTGCTTTCACAGCTGAAACTACCAGAGAAACTATGCGCCTACTTTCAAGAAGATTGTGGCGAGCTTTTGCTCCAAAACATTTGGTGTGCCTTTTACATTTGATTATTTTTGTGTAATTAAGAAAATATCTCTTTAATAATTATAATAGCAACAACAACAATATAATAATACTATTAAAGAGTATAATAACAATACATAACTTTGATTGAAAACTTAAATATGCCAGAAAATTTTCAAAATGTTTTACATATATCAGCTCATTTTATCCTCACCGCAGCTCCTTGGTGCATTATTATTTTTCCCATTTTATACATAAAGGAAACTGAGAAACAGAGAATTTAACTAACTTGGTCATTAGCACACAGTCAGTAAGTAAGTAACTTAGGTTGAGAATATTAGCAGAGGAAAGCCATGCTATGTAAGCCTTCAGTACTGAGCTAAAAACCAAGAGATATTGTCTACTAATTATAGAAAAAGAAGATTCTAGGACTTTAACATTTGCATTGAAAATGTACATGTACTAGTCATACCTGCATGTTTGGTGTAAATGATTTTGGATATCTACATTTCCAGTTCAGATTAACAGATTCCTAAATTAATAGCTGGAGAAAACAAATTGAAAAGGCAAAGAAAATCAGAACAAGTAGGCTTTCTCTCTTTTTTTACTTTCTTTTTGTTTCTTCTTCTCTCTCTCTCTTTTTTTTTTTAAGATGGTGTCTCACTCCGTTGCCCAGGCTGGAATGCAGTGGTGTGATCCAGGCTCACTGCAACCTCCACCTCCCGGGCTCAAGTGATCCTCCTACCTCAGCCTCCTGAGGAGCTAGAACTACAGGCATGCACCACCATGCCCGGCTAATTATTGTACTTTTACTAGAGATGGGGTTTCACCATGTTGCCCAGGCTGGTCTCGAATTTCTGAGCTTAGGTGATCCACCTCCTTTAGCCTCCCAAAGTGCTGGGATTACAGACATAAGCCACGGCCCCCAACCTCACAAGTAGATTTTTAAGGAAAAATAATTGCTATTAAACAACATGAAATTCGATTTTATAGGGCTTTGAACAGGCTAGAAGATGGTAATTATAGAGAAAAAGGAAGTGATAGATAAAAACAATCAGAGCTATAGATATTTTTGTTAGTCATCATCTTTAATAATTGATCTAATTACCTCAGCACATAATTTTGCATTAAATGTGCAGTTCTATCTAGACCCACACCTAATTTTCCCTCCCTGGTTATGTGGTTATGGGGGCGGTGCTGAGAAGTGAGTATGTTAACAGTGTTTATCAGGACACAGTAGAAAAAATGACTAGTTAATAATAATGTGTTTTTAAAATGTCATATACTCAAAGTTGAAATAGTTTACTAATCATATTTTTTCATTTAGCATGTATAGTTGACCACTGAACAACAAATAAACAGGTTTGAAATGTGCATATCTACTTATATATAGATTCTTAAAAATAAGTATATTGGAACGTTTTTTGAAATTTGTAACAATCTGAAAAAATTGCAAATGGCACAGACTAGAAATACTGAAAAAAATTTTAAGAAGTATGTCACGATACATAAATATATGTAGGTATTAGTCTATTTTATGATTTACTACCATACATATACACAAATCTTGTATAAAAAGTTAAAATTTATCAAAACATATGCACACAGACTGCACATGGAGCCATTAGCAGTCTAGAGAAATGTAAACAAATGTAAAGATGCAGTACTAAATCACAACATAAAATTAACTGTAGTAGATACTGTACTATTGTATAATTTTATAGCTGCCTTCCATTACTGTTGCGGTGAGCTCAGGTGTTGAGAGTACATGCTTAGAATGTCATGTGACATTTAATCATCACTACATGAGCAGTTTGTCTCTCCAGTAAACTGCATATCATATCACAGTAAAAACTAATCTCTCATGGTTCTCATGTATTTTTCATCGTGTTTAGTACAATACCATAAACTTTGAATAACACTATGGGACCTATATGAAGTGCCACTAGTGATGCTTGAAATGCTCCCAAGAAACAAAGTCATGACACTCCAATAAAAAGTTAAGACTGGGAGTAAAAATGGCCAACTAGGTAGAGCCAGGAAGAGCTTCTCCCACTGGGAGAGAACAAGCTATCAGGTGGACTGGTCCACTCCAAACAGATCATCAAAGAGAAGGCGTTGATAGTGGATGGAGGGAGGACACAGATCCTGGGCTAAAAAAGGAGGAAGCTGGAAACCCTTCATGGAGCTGCCAAGCCCCAGGACCCATTCTTGGCCCTGAGCAGCTCCTGGGGAAGGGGTGAGTAAATAGGCATGGAGCAGCCCACTCTTGCCATGGACCTCTGAAATACTAGCTGCAGGGTACCTCATGACCCCCACAGACATATGAGCTCTCAGGAGGAACCGCCCAGAGATTTAACAGAGAAAGAACTCCAGCCTGCATGGAGCCCAGATGTTTGGCACAGGAATGGTTGCAGTGCAGCATGGCCTTGGGTACCCATCCTTCAAGAGCTGCCATACTCCTCTAGTTGTCTTTAGCCTTTGTAGGCTGCCATACCTGGACAGAGTAGAGCTATCTTACCCATGCGATGGGGACTGCCTGATCTGAGTACTCCCCAGTCTGTAGCTCTATCACAGGGTCCCTGCCTGGCTGCACCTGCTTGCAGCACAGCCTCAGCTGCTAAGTTGAGGAACTTACCTGCAGCTATCATTATAGCTCTTTTACCAACAGACCCTGCCTAACAGGTGAAGGACTACTGCAGGTGAGCTTTCACCAGGGAGCACCCATCTGTAGTCCTCCCCAGCTGGTGCACACTTACTCACAGCCTCTGCCTGCTGATTCACCTGCACGCATTCAGCCACAGCTTGCGCCATGTGGCTTCACCAACATGTGTGTGCATGGGACCTACTGACACCCACTGCTGCTGGCACATGTGCAAGCAGAGAATATGGCCACCCACTGCCTGTATGCCAAAGTGCTTTTGCTGGCATCCTTTATCAGTGTTGTGGCCAGCAGACTAGAAACACATAGGCCCCTCTAGTAGAGCAGATTCTTAACCTCAAGGGGCCAGAGAAAAAAAAGCTATGGTCATGGTCCCAGCCCCCCCAGGGTTATATCACAAAGACCATGAATGCCGAGCTGAGCCATGACCCCCTGAAATTATCCACAAATGAAGCCAATTGATGAACCCTAACTTATACCACTGTCAAAACCTCAAGGGCATTAAAAAAGAGAAAGGCAAAAAACTTTATGAAAATGACAGCAAATTGAAAAATTAAGGAAAAATTAGCTCATGCACATAAGTAAGCATCACTGCAATAACACTGGACACTCTAAAAGCCATAATGTATTTTTACCTGCAAATGACCACACTAATTTCTCAACAGTGGTTCTTAAACTGACTGAAATGGCTGAAATGACAGGCATAGAATTCAAAATCTGGATGACAATGAAGATCATTGAGATCCATAAAGTTGAAACCCAATGCAAGTAAACTAACATATCTAGTAAAGTAGTCCAAGAGATGAAGCACAACATAGTCATTTTAAGAAAGAATCAAACTAATCTGCTAGAACTGAAAAACTCACTACAAGAATTTCATAATATAACTGCCAATATTAACAGCAGAATAGACCGAGCTGATAAAACAATCTCAGAGGTTGTAGACCAGTTCTTCAAATCGACTCAGTCAAAAATAAAGAAAAAATAATTTTTAAAAATAAACAAAGCGTCTGAGAAATATGAGATTATGTAAAGACACCAAATCTATGACTCATTGGCATCCCAAAAAGAGAGGGAGAGACAGCAAGCAACTTGGAAAACATATTTGTAGATATTGTCCATAAAATTTTTCCCAACCTTGCTAGAGAGGTAAACATGCAAATTCAGGAAATTTAGAGGACTCCAACAAGACACTATACAAGACAACCCTCGTTAAGACATACAGTCGTTAGACTTTCCAAGATCAGTGTGAAAGAAAAAATATTAAAGACAACTAGAGAAAAGGGGCAGGTCGTGTACAAATGAAACCAGTCAGGCTAACAGCAGAAAATTCAACAGAAATAATTCAAACCAGAAGAGAGTGGGGCATAGTCAGGATCCTTCAAGAAAGGAAATTCCAAACAAGAATTTTATATCTAGCCAAACGAATCTTTGTAAGTGAAGGATAAATAAAATCCTTTCAGACAAGCAAATGCTAAAAGAATTCACTATCACAAGACCTGTCTTAAAAGATGTTCTTAAGGGAGTGCTAAATATGGAAACAAAAGACTATTACCTGTCTCCACAAAAGTGCACTTAAATACATAACCCACTGACAATAAAAAGCAACTACAAAATCAAGTCTATGTAACAACCAGCTAACATAATGATAGGTTCAAATCTTCACGTATCAATATTATTTTTTAAAGTAAATGCGTTAAATGCTCCACTTAAAAGAAATAGAATGACAAGTTGGATAAAGAAATACATGAAACCGTGTGCTGTCGTCAAGAAACCCATTTCACATGCAATGATACATACAGGTTCAAAGTAAAGAAATGGCAACAGATCGATCAAGGAAACAGAAAACAAAAGAGGACAGGGGTTGCTATTCTTATTTCAGACCATACAGACTTTAAACCAACAATGATGAAAAAGAACAAATAAGGGCATTACATAATGAAAAAGGGTTCAATTTAACAAAAAAAGTAACTATCTTAAATAGATGTGCACCCAACACTGGAGCACCAAGATTCATAAAACAAGCTAATAGAGAACAACAAAGAGACTTAGATAACCCTGCAACAATAGTGGGATACTTCAACAACCCACTGACAGTATTAAGCAGATCATTGAGGCAGAAAAATAACAAAACTATTTGAGGCCTAAACTTTATCCCTGACACAAGGGACCTAACAGACATCTATAGAACATTCCAAGCAATAACAATGGAATATATCTTCTTCTCATCTGTGCATGGCACATACTCATAAGTCAATCACACACTCGGCCATAAAGCAACTCTCAACAAATTCATAAAAACTGAAATCGTACCAACAATACTCTTGGACCACAGTGCAATAAATATAGAAATCAGTATCAAGAAGATCTCTCAAAACCATACAATGACATATAAATTAAACAACCTGCTCCTTAATGGGTTTGGGTAAAGAATACAATTAAAGCAGAAATCAAGAAATTATTTGACACTAATGAGAGCAAACATACAACAAACCGGAATCTCTAGAAAGCGGCTAAAGCAGTGTTAAGAGGAAAACCTAAAATTGTAATAACCCTAGAAGTAAACCTAGGACACACAATTCTGGACATAGGCCTTGGCAAAGATTTCATAATGAAGACCACAAAAGCAATTACAAAATTGACAAATTGGCAAAATTACAAAAATTGACATATGGGACTTAATTTAAACTAAAAAGCTTCTGCACAGCAAAATAAACTATCAACAGAGTAAAGAGACAACCTACAGAATGCGAAAAAATATTTGCGAATTATATATCCAACAAAGGTCTAATACACAGAATCTATAAGTAACTTAAACAAATCAACAAGGAAAAATACACATAACCCTACTAAAAAATAGGCAAAGGACACGATCACATACTTCTACTTACATGTGACCAACAAGCATATGAAAAAATTCTCAACATCACAAATCATTAGAGAAATGCAAATCAAAACCACAATGAGATATTACCTTACAGCAATAAGAATACCTATTATTAAATATTAAAAAATTAAAAATAACATGTTAGCAAGATAGTGGAGAAAAGGGAATGCTTATATACTGCTGGTAGGAATGTAAATTAGCTCATCCACTGTGAAAAGCAATTTGGAGATTTCTGAAACAACGTAAAACAGAACTAACATTCAACCCAGCAATCCCATTACTGGGTATATATTTAAAGGTATATAAATCATTCTATCATAAAGACATATGCATGTTTACATTTATTGCAGCACTTTTCACAATAGCAAAGACCTGGAGTCAATCTAAATGCCCATCAAAGTTGCACTGGATGAAGAAAATATGGTACATATACGTCATAGAAAACTAGATAGCCATAAAAAAAAGAATGAACTCATGTTTTTTGTAGCAACATGGATGCAGGTGGAGGCCATTATCCTAAGCAAATTAACAGAGGAGCAGAAAATCAATTACTGCATGTTCTCACTTATAAATGGGTGCTAAACATTCAGCATGCAGGGACACAAAAAGAGGAACAATAGACACTGGTACTAACTTAAGGTTCAAGGGTAGGAGGAAGGTGAGGATAGAAAAACTGCCTATCTGTACTTTGCTCCCTATTTGGGTGATGAAATCATTTGTATGCCAAACCCTGGTGATATGCAGTTTACCCACTTATCAAACCTGCACATGTACCCTTTGAACCTAAAATGAAATTTAGATTAAAAAAATAGACAGTTGAATTGCTTAATATATACCACAGACAGGTCTGAAGCTGCAGTTGCCCACCATTTCAGACAGGAGGTACATCTTGTAAACAGACAATGTAAATTTAAGATATTGATAAATGTAGTGCAGTGCCACAAATGTATTTTCTCTCATGAGTTTCTTAATAACATTTTATTTTCCATAGTTTACTTTATTATAAGAATACAATATAACATACAAAATATATAACACATATGACATACAAAATACATGTTAATTTACTCTTTATGTTATCAGTAAGACTCTGGTCAACAGTAGGCTATTGGTAGCTAGGTTTTTGAGGAGTCAAAAGTTATACTTGTATTTTTGTGCATGGGGCTAACTCCTACAACCTTTGCATTGTTCAAAAGGAGTCAAGTGTAAGAAACAATGTAAATTTTTATTTGAAATTTTTCTTCTAGATATTTAATTCTTTTCTAATATTAAAGATATTTTTAATTCGTATATTACTAATATCCTTAAAAATATAATGTATTCCAGATGTTTCAAATTTATAATCAATAAACAACCTTAATATAATTTTCTTCAATTAAAACTAACATTCATGCATTATATTGCAGCATATAAAATAAACCTACGTATATCAACATTTGAATTCCATAAACGGATAAACTGAGACTCTAAGGCTGTGAGTGTAATTCCACACAGGTCTTTCTAACAGTTTTAGCATAAATGGATTCACTACCCAACATGTAATTTTTATTCTAGACTTAACCTAAGATATTTGGTATTTCTATTATTGCAGTTGCCTAATAAACACATGGGTACCATGAAAGGGAAACATTAGAAGCAGGATAAACCAAGAAAATTTATACAATTTCTAGCTAATATGGACAAATTGGAACTCTACGACTGCCACACTATTTATATATTTTCTTTTAAATATTCATCACTGGGCATATTGAGTAATTAAATAGCAAAATAGGTAACTGTTTCTAAGTGAGAAATAGTTACACTAAAAATATTTTTTATTCTTTCTGAAATTATAATAAAGCTTTCTGAAGACAAAATATAAATGTAGGATTCTAAGTTCATAATATACCAATTTTCCATATAATCACAATCTTTATAATTACACGTTTTAACAAAAAATTCCCAGGCACTGGCAGATCTCTATTTCAGGTAGTCTTGTACTACTAAAAAGGCCCTAGCATTCCTACAGAGTATGAAGAACAAAGCATTTTAGACAGGTGGAATAACATTCAATTCTTTGGTGGACACATATTTCTGAAATGAGTTAGAGAGTTGTATAAAATAATCTGAAAGTTTTGATAAACTATACATACGATATTTTAATAAGAGACGATATTTTTAAGATTACATTTTTTCTAAAATCTTTCTCCTGCTTTCAAGTAACTGCATTTATTCAGTCATGTTTTGAGAGGCCAGAGAGAAGTATAAAATGGCTCTAAAATTATTCAAATTATAATCCCAGAAAGTATGCAAACATTTCATAGAATTTAATTCTGAGAAAATAAAAATAAACAAAAACATCACCATGCATACAATTATAGTATTTTATATTGTACATTAGCATGATGATAAATTATATATCTATTAGAAATGACTTTCTAAAGACTATGGAAATAGATATATTTATTATTTGCAAGATTAAATAAAATAATATAGTAAGAATGATGTGTACCTATGTAAAACTGATATATTTTTAAAACTCAAAAAGTTTTTACTATATTCATAACTTTTACTTTTTAGAAAATTATACAAGAAAATTTATAGGATTTAGAATTGGAAGATGATCCACAGATAAATCGGTTTCTCTCATGTTGTAGATAAGAATGTCATTTATTTTTAGTAAAAAAAAATTGAGATCACAGTCCTGTAATCGGCCAAAAGTAAACAAAGACAAACCATTCAAATAATTCCATATCTCTCAAATAATTATATAAAATATTAGAATATTAGACATCTTTCTTTTTCTTTTCTTTTTCTTTTTATCTTTTCCTTTTTTTTTTTTTTTTTTTTTTTTTGAGATGGAGTTTCACTCTTGTTGCCCAGGCTGGAGCGCAATGGCGCGATCTCGCCTCACTGCAACCTGCACCTACCATGTTCCAGCGATTCTCCTCCCTCAGCCTCCTGAGTAGCTGGGATTACAGGCACCCGCCACCATGCCTTGCTAATTTTTGTATATTTAGTAGAGATGGGGTTTCACCATGTTGACCAGGCTCGTTTTGAACTCCTGACCTCAGGTGATCCATCTGCCTCGGCTCCTAAAGTGCTGGGATTACAGGCTTGAGCCAACACGCCCAGCCCTTACTAGACATTTTTCTAATTAAAAAAATATTTTAAACCTTCAGGAACTGACATTTCTATTAGAAAAGGTGTTGGAAGACCTCTGATGACACTGGAATTTGTTTGAAAAAAAGTAGAAAGCATAACACTCAGGAAACACTGACTGTCAATAGAATTGTTCAATGTCAGGTCTGTGGGCAATACAATAGAAAACATTATGCACGAGTTTCCACGCTGGCAGCAGTGTGTCAATTTTAAGGTAAAATTGAAACCGTTGTTAACAACAATTAGGGTGCAGGAGGAAGCAAGTTAGTTACAGAATTTCATAAAATAATCTGTCACTGGAAAGTAAGAAAAAAGCATGTTTACTAGTAACAATAATAAAAGCAAAACTTACCTATCTACAAATTATTTGTACAGTAGAACGTAACTGTCAAACATTTTGTTGCAGGCTAACCACTTATTTTTGATTTTTTTAATTGATACCTAATTATTGTACATATATCTAGGATACATATGGTAATTTGAAACATGTATACAATGTGTAGTAATCAAATCAGGGTAATTTGGATATACATCACCTCAATTATTCTTATGTGTTGTGAGCATTCCAACCCTTTTTCCTAGCTATCATCTCACCTTAGGTAAAATTGAATTTATCAAAAGACAAAAAATAACTTATGCTGGCAAGGATGTAGAGAAAGGTGAATGCTCATACACTGCTGGTGGAAATATACATTAGTACAGGCATTATGAAAAACAGTCTGGAGTTTCCTCACAAAACTATAAATAGAACTGCCACATGATGCAAGGTGACCACTTCTAAGGGAAAAAGCAAAATTTTAATTTCATTGATCTTGTAACAGTGAAACAGCAAAGGAACTAACATAATTAGCCCCAATTTTGTTTAAAGAGCCTTTGCCCATTTAGGCAAGGATAATTTTAGAACACTGAGATACTGTAAAACACAGCAGTCATGTAGTTTTTAAAACTAAATCTGGGATCAAAGAGTTAGTATGCAAAAAAACTATCTGTTTTGTTAATGATTTACAGGAGTATAGTGACCTAACCAAGGACAAAAATGGTGCAAAACTCCTCAGACCCTCACTGATACCCAGATGTCTGTGGTTCTTCGTAGTCACTTCGTGATACTAATTGCTTCCTTTTCCCCATATCCCCCTCTCATAAAAGCCCTCTGGCTGGGAGACATTTGAAGCAAGATGGTGAAATAGAAGGCTCTACAGATTGTCCACTATTCAATGAGGGCAAAAATTTAACAACTATGTACACAAAAAGCACCTTCACAAGAAACAACAACAACAACAAAAAATAGGTGAGCACTCACAGTACCTGGTTTTAACTTTGTATTATTAAAAGTACCACCAAAGAGGTAGTAAAAACAGTCTTGAATAACTGACACCACCACTTCCCCATCCTCTGGCAGTAGTGGAGTGGTACAGAGAGCATTCCTGTGTACTGGGGTAGGGAGAGCACAGCTATTGTGAGGCATTGGATTAAGTGCTGTCCTGTTATAGCAGAAGGGAAAACCGGACCAAACTCACCTGAAACCCACTCACAGAGGGAGCATGTAAACCAAACCTGGCCAGAGGATGATTATTGAATTGAGTGGTCAGAACTTGAGTTCCCCCAAGTGGGGTTCTAAATAAACTTGAAAGGCAGTTTAAGATGCAACTCCTAGTCAATTCCTAGTGCTGAACCTGGTCCAGACTTAGAGGATTGAGGTGGGGTGGGGGGCATTCAACCTATAGCAACACAAGCTGGGTTGGCTAATAAAAGCTGGCATTACCCCTCTCCTAATCCCAGGCTGCACAGTTCACAGCCGCAAAAGAGATCTTGTCCTACTGTTTGAGGAGAGGAGAGAGAAGAGTGGGAAGGACTTTGTCTTTCCAACCACAGCAAGATAGGGCACTGGTAAGAGTCATGAGGCCTCCTTTCCAGGCCCTAGTTACCATATAATGTTTCTAGACAACTCTGAGCCAGAAGGGAATCTGTTGCCTTGAAGAGAAGGATCCAGTCCTGGCGGCATTCATCACCTGCTAACTGAAAATCTCTTGGGTCCCTGAATAACCAGCAATGATATCCAGGTACTACATCAAGGGCCTTGGATGAGACTCTAAGACTTACTGGCTTCAAATGAGACTCACCACATTCCAAGCTATTGTGGTTATAGCGCAAGACTCCTTCTACTTGAGAGCAGCAAAGAAAATATGAAGAAGATTTTGTCATGCGCCTTAGGTACCAGCTGGGCCATAGGAGTATAGAGCACCAAGTAGGGTCTTGGGGCCTCTGATTCCAGAATGTAGGAATTGGATGGCATTTAAGGACCTGTCCTGGGCAAGAGAGAAGCCCACTGCCCTGAAGGATGAGTCCCAGGTCAGGCAGCAATGACCACAAGCTAACTGAAGGGCACTTGGGACTTAAAAGAATATTGGCAACAGTCTGGCAGTGCTCATTGTGTGCCTGTGGTGGTAATGGTGGACACAAGGTGAGACTGATGGTGGTGGTGGCCAGAAGGTGAGGCTCCTCTGTCTTTTGAATAGGGAGGGAAGAGTAGAAAGAACTCTGCATTGGCCGGGCACGGTGACTCACGCCTGTAATCCCAGCACTTTGGGAGGCCGAGGTGGGCAGATCACCTGAGGTCAGGAGTTCAAGACCAGCCTTGCCAACATGGTGAAATCCCGTTTCTACTAAAAATACAAAAATTAGCTGGGCGTGGTGCCGGGCACCTGTAATCCCAGCTACTCAGGAGGCTGAGGAAGGAGAATCGCTTGAACCTGGGAGGTGGAGGTTGCAGTGAGCCGAGATCACGCCACTGCACTCCACACTCCAGCCCGGGCAACAGAGTGAGACTCTGTCTCAAAAAAAAAAAAAAAAAAAAAGAATTCTGCATCTTGTGGTTTGAGTGCCAGTTCACCTGCAGTAAAATAGAATACCAGGTAGACTTCTAGGGTTTTTTACTTGAGTCTCTGGCTCACAGACAACACTGCTGAACCTGCCTGGGACCTGAGGGAACTCACTACCATGAAGGAAATGACACAGGGATTGCCACCTTTGCAACCTACTAATTGTAGAGCCCCAGGACCTTGAGTGAACACAGGCAATAGCCAAGGAGTGATTACTTTGGCCTTGGGTGAGACCCAGTTATGTGCTGGCATCAGGACCGAGCCAGCACAGTCATAGTGGTGGTGTCAACAGGAGTGCTTGTCTCAACCCACCAGAACAGAAAGAGAGACTCTATTTGTTACAAGAAAGTAAGGAAAGAGAACAAGAGTCTCTGCCTGGTAATCAAGATAATTCCTTTGGATCTTTTCAAAGACCATAAAAGTGGTACTTCTACAACCCTACAAGAAACATAGCAATACTGAGCTTCAGGTTCCCCTCTATAGCAGATGCAGCTTATATCACAACACCCAAGTCCTTTTAAATATCTGGAAAGCCGTCCAAAGAAGGATGGGTACAAGTGAGCCTAGAAGACTTGTGTTGTGAAGACTACAATAAATATTTAACTCTTCAATGCCCAGACACTGAAGAACTTCTACTAGCATCAACACTATCCATGGAAATGTCACCTCACCAAATGAACTAAGTAAGGTACCAGGGACCAATCCTGAAAAAACAGATATGTGACCTTTCCAACAGATAATTCAAAATAGCTGTGTTGAGAAAACTCAAAGAAATTCAAGACAGCATTTAGAAGGAATTCAGAATTCTGTCAGGTAAATTTAGCAAAGAGATTGAAATAATTAAAAATAAGCAGAAATTCTAGAGCTGAAAAATGCCTTTGACATAATGAATAATCAGATTATTTTAATAGCAGAATTCATAGATTCAAATAAAGAATTAGAGAGCTTGAAGACAGGCTATTTGAAAATACACAATCAGAGGATATACAGAATTAAAAAACCATAAAACATACCTACAGGATCTAGAAAGTAGCCTCAAAAGCACAAATCTAAGAGTTATTCATCTTAAAAAGGAGGTAAAGAAAGAAACGGAGGTACAGAGTTTATCGAAAGTGATAAAAACAGAGAACTTCCCAATCTAAAGAAAGATATTAATATCCAAGTACAAGAAGGTTATAGAACACCAAGCAGATTAAAAACAAAGAAGACTAACTCAAGGCATTCAATAATTAAACCTCCAAATATCAATGATAAGAAAAGGATCCTAAAAACAGCAAGAGAAAAGAAGCAAATAGCATACTATGAAGTTCCAATATGTCTGATAGCAGAGTTTTCACTCAAAAACATATAGGCAAGGAGAAAGTGCCATCACATACTTAAAGTGCAGAAGAAAAAATAAATTATTTACTGTAGGATAGTGTATGTGGCAAAATAGCTTTGTGGGCCTTGGGTGAGACCTAGTGATAGGCTGGCATCAGGACTGAGGAGCAGACGAAAAGTGAAGAGGTCTTTACTTTTAACATAAGACACTTTATGCTTTATGATTTAGTGTTTAACATAAAACACTTTGTTTCTTCAAATATAAAAGAGAAATGAAGAATTTTTCAGGCAAACAAAGGCTAAGAGATTTAATCATTTCCAGACTGGTCCTACAAGAAACGCTAAGGGAGGACTTCAGTGAGAAAAACAAACAAACAAACAAACAAACCAAAAAAAAAAAACCCAGAATATTAATGAGCAATAAGCAATCGCCTGAAGGTACACAACTCACTTTTAATAGTAAGTACAGAGAAAAACACAAAATATTATGACATTGTAACTGCTGTGTCTAAACTATTCTTATCCTAAGTAGAAAGACTAAATGATAAACCAATCAAGAACAATAACTGCAACAACTTTTCTTTTCTTTTCTTTCCTTTTATTTATTTATTTATTTTTTTTGAGAGGGAGTCTTGCTCTGTCACCAGGGCTGGAGTGCAATGGCACAAACTAGGCTCACGGCAACCTCTGCCTCCCCTGTTCACATTATTTTCCTGCCTGATCCTCCCGAGTACCTGGGATTACAGGTGCACACCACTATGTCCAGTTAATTTTTTTCTTTTTTGTGTGTATTTTTTTAGTAGAGACGGGATTTCACTGTGTTGGCCAGACTGGTCTCAAACTCCTTCCTGATCTCCTGATCCACACGCCTCAGCCCTCAAAGTGTTGGGATTACAGACCTAAGGCACCGAACTGGGCCAACAACTTTTCAATACGTAGATAGTATAATAAGATATAAATAGAAACAGCACAGAGTTAAAAATAATGGAGACAAAGTTAAGTCATAAAGTCTTCATTAGTTTTCTTTTTGCTTGCTTTTTATGTACACAGTGTGTTAACTTGCTATCAGCTTAAAATAATGGGTTATAAGATAGAATTTGTAAGCCTTATGGTAAGCTCAAACCAAAATATATAACAGACACACAAAAAATCTAAAGAAAGAGATTAAATCATATGACCAGTGAAAATTACCTCTACTAAAAGAAATACAGGAGGAAAAGAAAGAAGGGAGAAAAGACAATAAATCATCGAGAGAAAAGGAGTAAAACAATTGCAGGAGTAGGTCCTTACTTATAAATAATAACGACGAATATAAATGGAATAAACTGTCCAATTTAAAAAAACATAGACTAGTGGAGTAGATGAAAAAAATAAGACCAATTGAACTGTGGCCTATAAAGATACACATACACAGAAAAAATTATATGTAGATTAAGAAGAAAAATGGCAGATAGGAGCCCCTTCATTTTGGCCAATTTCTCCCATTTGGAATGGTTGTATTTACCCAATGTCTGTACTCCCATTGTATCTAGGAAGTAACTAACTTGCTTTTGATTTTACAGGCCCATAAGCAAAAGGGACTTTCCTTGTCTCAGTTAAGACTTTGGACTGTGGACGTTTGAGTTAATGCTGAAATAAGTTAAGACTTTGGGTTCTGTTGGGAAGGCACGATTGGTTTTTAAATGTGAAAACACGAGATTTGGGAGGGGCAGAAGTGGAAATGAGTTGAGACTTTGGGGGACTGTTGGGAAGGCATGATTGCTTTTTAAATGTGAAGGTATGAGATTTGGGAGGGGCCAGGGGCAGAATGATATGATTTGGCTCTGTGTCCCCACCCAAATCTCATCTTGCAGCTTTCCTAATTCCCACATGTTGTGGAGAGACCCAGTGGGAGATGACTGAATCACGGGGGCGAGTTATTCCTGTGCTGTTCTCATGATAGTGAATGGGTCTCACGAGATCCAATGATTTTAAAAACGGGAGTTTCTCTGCACAAGCCCTCTCTTTGCCTGCTGCCATCCACGTAAGATGTGACTTGCTCCTCCTTGCCTTCTGCCATGATTGTGAGTCCTCCCCAGCCACGTAGAACTGTGAGTTCAATTAAACCTCTTTCTTTTGTAAATTGCCCAGTCTTGAGTATGTCTTGATCGGCAGCATGAAAACGGACGAATACACTAATTATCAGGGAAACGCAAATCAAAACCACAATGTGATGCCACCTTATTCCTGCAAGAATGTGCCATAATTAAAATATCCAAAAATAATAGATGTTGTCATGGATGCAATGAAAAGGGAACACTTTTACACTTCTGGCGGGAACATAAACTAGTATAACCACTATGGAAAAGTGTGGAGATTCGTTAAAGAACTGACAGTAGACCCACCATTTGATCCAGCAATCCCACTTCTGGAATATCTACACAGAGGAAAAAAAGTCATTACATGAAAAAAACACTTGCTCACACATGTTTATAGCAGCACAATTTGCAGTTGCAAGAATATGGAACCAGACCAAATGCCCATCAATCAACGAGTCTGTAAAGAAAATGTGGTATAGATATACCATGGAATACTATTTAGCCATAAAAAGGAATGAAATAATGGCATTCACCAACCTAGATGGAACTAGAGACCATTATTCCAAGTGAAGTAACTCAGGAAAGGAAATTCAGACATCATATATTCTCACTTATAAGTGGAACCTAAACTATGCAGACACAAAGGTGTAAGAATGATACAATGGACTTTGGGGACTCAAGGGGAAGGGTGGGAAGGAGGTGAGGGACAAAAGACTACACATTGCTTATGGTTTACACTGCTCAGGTGATGGATGCACCAAAATCTCAGCAATCACCACTAAAAAATGTATCCGTGTAAACAAACACCACCTGTTCCCCAGAATATAATTGAAATTTTAAAAATAGTAATACAAATAAAATGAAATAAAAAAGAACAACTTATGTTTTTCTGATATGTTTTGTATGCCTACCAAAGCTGTTATTATTATAAGTTTCTGAAAAGTGGTATTACTTACTTCACCTAAGAGCACTTTTAAAATAGTAATTTAAATTACTTTTTAAAATAAATATAAATTAAACATAAATTAGAGTAATTTTAAAATTAGGGACAGTTCACAAATAATGAGAGAAGAATACAAATTTATTTAGAGCAAATGAAAATCTACACATACATAGAGATTACACAATCTGCAAAATCTGATCCCCAATTTTAGAATTTCCCAGTGCCACTAGTCTTTATTTCTTGTTTAAATGTTTTAAGGATTTCAGAGGAAAGAAGCACACAATTTTCTTTCAAAATATGATCATTGAGGCTACTTGAATATTATGACTTAGCAGTGATTTCATACCTCTGTCCCTATTTGAAAGTAATGCTTCAACTTTGTCCAGGGTTAAGTATTTGGAGTATAACAGCCATGTAGGATTTATGATGTGTTCATTAACAACAAATACTGAATGATAATTCAGAACATGCACAACCATAAGCAAACTTTAAAAACACTCGTTCTTTTAAAATAATGTTTCTCAGACCCAACTATGCATCAAAATCACTCAGACAACTTTAAAAATTACATATTACTAGGCATTACTCCACACCTAGTGAAATTAGAGGCCGTAGAGATGAAGCTTCAAACATCTATTCTAATAATACCTCTTGTTGATTTCAATGTCATTCATGGACTGGTGTTGTGGAACTACTGTTATAGAGAAGTTATTCAAAATTGGGTTATTTTTCAATATAATATTTTCATAATCTTTTACTGAAAATTAAAACTCACTATAGATGTCATTTTTCTCTCAGAATAAAATTCTATATCTTAAAATTAAAATGATAATTAGAGGACATCTAATACCATGTCTGCCCCAATGTAGCAATAATCCCTTTCATAGTATCCCTAATCTTCCAGCACCTGCTTGCAAAATTTTAGCATTGATTGGGGGAGTGTGCCATGGGTTATCATACAAAAATTAATATTTTAATAACAGCATTTCTGAGATATAACTTACATACCATAAAATTTTCTCCTTTAAAATTATACAATTCAGTGGTGTTTAGTGTATTCACAGAGCTGTGGAAATATCACAACTATGTAATCTTGGAACATTTTAATCATCTTCCAAAAGAAACCCATTAACAGTCACTTTCCTTCTCCCTACTTGCCCTAGACCTAAATAATCATTAATTTAATTTTGTCTCTATAAATCTGCACATTAAAAATATTTCATATTAATGGAATTATACGATATGTAGCTTTTAAGCATGTCTTCTTTCATTTAGCGTATTTTAATGGTTCAATACATTTTGTACCATGTGCCAGTTCTCCATTCTATTTTATAGCCCAATGATATTCCATTGTATGATTCTAACAAATTTTCTTTAGCCATTTATCAGTTGATGGATATGTGGGTTATTTCTGCTTTTTGATTATTATCAGTAATGCTGCCATGAACATTTGTTTACGTTTTGTATGACATATGGTTTTTCAATTCTCCTGGGCACGTATCTACAAACGGACTTTTTGTGCCATCTGGTAACTCTATGGTTAACTTTTTGAGAAATGTCCAGACTTTTTGTTAAAGTAGTTGTACCATTTTACAATCTCACCAACATTTTATGAGTGTTTTAATTTCTCAACATCTCTGCCTATACTTGTCTGTCTTTTCTATTTTAGACACCCTGGTGAGTGTGCGGTAGTTTCTTGTAGTTTTAATTCCATTTTGTGATAGAAAATGATGTTGAACTTTATATTCATGTGATTACTGGCTATTTGTATACCTCCTTAGTGAAATGTCTATTCAAATATTTTTCCCATTTTAAAATTGGGTAATTAATCTTTTTATTGTTGAGTTATAAAAGTTATTCATGTATTCTGATACAAGTCTGTTATGAGACGTGATTTTCAAATATTTTCTCCTGTTTTGTGTGTCTTTTCATGCTTTTGATAGTATTGTTTGCCCATAAAACAGTTTCAATTTTGATGATGTTCAATGTATCTAATTTTTTATTTTGTTGCTTCTATTTGGGGTGCTACATTTAAGAAATTATTGTCTGTACCAAAGTCACAATGTTTTACTCTTATGTTGTCCCATGAGATTTCTAGTTTCAGCACTTATTTTTAGGTTTATGATCACTTTTGAGTCGATTTGTGTATGCTGTGCAACAATTATTTTTATAAAATGCTTCCTTACATTGAACCCATATCTAGTTGTGGTAGCTATTCCCTTTGATCTTCGTATTTTCCTCTGAAATAGGAGGATATTAATTTATTCTGTCATCTACATAAGGATCATTAAATATTTGAATTCAACTCTCACGACTCCTATTACTCCTTCAAAGCCTATATCTTTACAAGATTAAAGTTTCTGGCTGCATCAATTATTTTTTGATGTTGGCCCCTTCTATCTATCAGTAGAGACTAAAATGTCACTAACTTGTTTGGCACGAACATAACACTATTGACTCAGTCAACTAAATCTAGGTTGTTAACAATGTATAATAAGATATTATATAAAATTTAATAACTTTTTTAGAGAAAGTAAAGAAACCTAGAAAATTCTTTCATTTCCACATTTTAAATGTTTTCCATGTCTCTTGCAGTCCTTATTTCTCTGTACACACATTTTACACAGTTTAATCAGTGTACATTCTGTTTCACATTCTGTTACCACACTAGTTAGAACATTATTATATCATACTTGGTATACTGTAATATTCTCTTAGCTATTTCATCTCCTTGCCCTCTGAAATTGGCCCAGCAAACTATTACCAGCTTACTATTTCCTAAACACTATTTTATATACATAAGTTCCCTGCTAGAAAGTATTTAGTGGCTCTCAATGCCCCTCAAAAAATTTTCAGGCATGCAATTATCAGACAAATCTATAATCAAACCTCAGCTCCTCTACTATAAGCTGTGTGATTTGGGACAAATAATTCGTTCTTACCAAGCCTCAGTTTTTTCTCAACTGTCAAATGGGTATCCTAAATCATACCTTGCAAAGTTATTATAGAAAGTAGTAAGACAATGCACAAATGAAGGATAACAAGAGGAGCCATTGCTCTATAATTTATCTTGAAGCTTGCAAATATATGCCATGAGTGCCCCATGATCACAATCCAGAACCCATTAAAACGTCTATTAATTACTTGCAGCACTCTTTCCCACACGGGCCTAAATATGGCTTCTCCAGATAGCATCTACATACTTATAGCATTAAGCATGCAAGATATTATTTGCCTTTCCAGATTTGTCCTAACCAATACCTCCTAACTTTCCTCCCAATCTTCCCATGGAGAGATGTTCTAATGAAATGAATCTACCTGTTGTCCTATGGAATGTCTCACATCTTCCCATTCCCATGACTTTCCTCAAACAACTTTCTTTACCTAAACTATTTATTCACTCCTTTTTGTATTCATCAAAATTTCACCCATCTGTCAGGATATAAATAAAGTCTTTGCCTCCTCCATGTATGTTTTCTAATCACTATTAGATTGTAATTGATCTCCTTCTGTTGAAATTTCACTAATTTATATACCTTGTCATAATCTATTTATCATTTTTGTTTGTTTGTTTGAGACAGGATCTCACTCTGTTGCCCAGACTGGAGTGCAGTGGCATGCTTATGGCTCACTGCAGCCTCAACCATCCAGGCTCAGGTGATCTTTCCACTTCAGCCTTCCATGTAGCTGGGACTACAGATGCACCACCACACCTGGCTAATTTTTTTCAATTTTTTATAGAAACGTGTTTTACCATGTTATCCAGGCTGGTCTCGAACTCCTA
Organism: Homo sapiens; assembly: GCF_000001405.40. Classification (NCBI taxonomy): domain Eukaryota; kingdom Metazoa; phylum Chordata; class Mammalia; order Primates; family Hominidae; genus Homo; species Homo sapiens. The sequence continues at coordinate 87,387,969 of NC_000023.11, forward strand.
GGCTCGAGAAATCCACTCACCTCCGCCTCCCAAAGTGCTGGGATTACAAGTGTGAGCCACCCTGCTCGGCCTTATTCATTACTTTTAAATGTGGTTTTTGAGTTAAGAAATTATCATTTCTTTTTTTAAAAAATGGTGAAGGCCATACAGATCTAACACATTCATTTATGAAAAACCTGGGTTTCTGAATTAAAGGAAGAGAAAAAATGAGTGAAGTTTACCAATCAGAAATGGTAAAAGGACAAAGGCCAACTTGGTAACTCAGTGGGTCTCAGCCTTCTTGAATCTCAACACATCTGAGGGATTTAAATCTCACCAATAAAAAATGGTGAGTAATCATCTCCCTTGGCATTGATTCTCATAATGATTACAATGGTGGTGATGGAAGTAGAGTACCCGAAAGTGGTATGTGATTTGATAAAGCCCCAATAAGTGATGCTGATAATGTTTCCTGTCATCCCTGGGATTTGATTTTACCCTATTCACTAGCTACTGAGTTCACATGTAACTGTTTCAAAGATGCTGGCAGAACACATAAAATTCCTGGGACAGGGAGAGCAGACTTTATTTCCCATGGCACAGGAAGCAGCTTGAACATCAACATTTTTGTGTAGGTCTCCCTTGTCCACAGTTTCCACAGGGGCAATGTGGTATGTCCGAAAAGGATACAGACAAGGGAGTTTGCATCACAGTTGGAAACAGTACTTGGAAAATCCACTACATTTGTTTCAAGCAGTGAACAATCAAACTCTGTCTGGTTTGTGGAGAAGATATTACCTTATTCCTCAAGATTGTTTGTAGTAAATTCAACTTTGAAAAATGGTATAGTAAAGAGCATTTAGGGCTTGTCATTCTTGGTAACTCAGCAAGATGTATAGGAACATAAGGAGTCCAAGAAGAATTGGCTCTTGCAACACGTTTCGGCACTTTCTGTCACTGTTCTAAAGTTACTCTTTTGCCTATGGCCTAAAATCATCATGCTACTAAACCCGTAGAAACCAGGGTATGATGAAGTGATTTGTAGACCATCTTAATACTTTAGGATGCGTCTAGGTTTTTCACTGGGGTCTCTAAAATGTGAGTTAATAAAAAAGGGTTGACCCTATAATGTCTTCCCTGAGAAGAGACCTATCAGTCATGCATGTTTCTGTTAAATTTCCGAAGGTAGCTCCTGGAAATAGTAGCCATCTTTGGCATCATTAGGGCTCAAAATGAATCACCCTGAGGAATACCTGCATTCTTATAAATTAGTCACTTTTAATTATCTCTACCATTTGCCATTTTATTTTGAATTATTTTGTAGATTTTAATGTTAACTTGTTATGACATCATTAAACCTATATATGCTGCATCTATCAGATATCAATGTTTATTAGGCTAAATCTGACATATAAGGCTGTCAAAAATCTAACAGAATTTAAGTCTATAATTATTATATTTTTAGTGGCCATTAAGTATAAAATACTATGAATAATGAATTACAAGCTTGACTTGTATACGTGGCTACAGTACTTTTGCAACTAAGGATACTCACACAGGAAGTTTCAATAACAGTGTTCTGGTGTTCTGCTGGACACTGAGAAAAGTTACTGCAGTGAGTTAGATTGGAAGTATATCCCCCAAAAATACTTTACAAATGTAAGGAGAGTATAGATGTGTCACTAATTCACCAAAGAAAAACACAATATGACATAGTCAGTAATCACTTTCTTACCAGTGCCTTATTATTAAAAAATATAGTCAGTGATGGTCAAATTGATAACAAATAGCTGATATTGCTTTTTATTATTTATTTGCATGACCAACTGTTTGCATAAGCATATTGCAAATAAAACATTCCATCTAAATGCTAAATAACTATAATACACAATGAGTATCTTTGAAATTCATGCCTTTTGTTTGCTAGCATTTGAAACTTTGTTGAAATATTTTGACCTAGTTCAGTCCTGATATGAAGTTAGTTTTATTTTCCAGCTCAGAAATTCACTCACAGTGTATACAGGCTAAAAATTTCATGAATATAAATTTAAGAAGGAATGTTCATAATTTTGTCATGATGTATTTTAATCGGAATTTTATCTGTTTTTTCTCAATTTAATATTTTTTCTCAATTTCACTTACTGCATGCATTATATAAAATGTTATCTATTAAAGACATCAAGACTGACCTAAAAAAATTGACAACCTTTAACTGTAAAATGCATACAATTTAAAACTTCTTTGAGAGGGAACTCATATTTTTAAAAATCTGAAAATGCATGTTGTTTTCACTTGGCTTAATGCTTAAAACAGTGTCTGAATTTGAACTGTTAATTATTCAATAAAGTGGGTAAATTTAGCCAAGTTTGTCAAATGGTTTTTATTGGAAGTAAGTGAAAAATAAATAATAAAATTGGTTAAATTATTACAACAGTTGTAAATATTAAGAAGCTGTATATGAAAGCAGAAAAATGGACATTTAATGCCACTGCTTAAAAGCAACATTTATATTTCTATAATAAATTTAGAAAAGTTAAAATGTGTCATGCCTGAATGAGTTTTTAATAGATAAAATATTTTTCCTTAACAAGAGAGACAGTAAAATATTCAGAGTATGTGCATGCTATTAAAATGCAGAGACTATAAGGACATCAAGAAAAACTAAATATAAGGTCAAAATTGAGAAATAATCTACAAGATTAGAGATTACAAGCATTTAAATCTGTTGACCTAGAGAAGCATCGAAAGATAATACAGTCTTTAATTATGGTAGTGGAAGCAGAACAAAAAATGTTATTATTTATTTTCTCTCATGGCAGACTAGGAAGAAAAGTGTCTCCTTGTTGGAAGTTTAAGCTAGAGATAAAGAAAAAGTATCTGATTGTAATGCCTATTGACGTTGAAACAAGATAACAGTGTGCTAGCCAAATATTTGATATTGACCTTAACATTTGGGAATATAGATAGACTTTTATAAAGTTCAGCAATGTACTGTGTTCCTGTAACTACCCTTTTTTCCCCTGTACTTCTAGTTTATGTGAAAACCAGAAACAAACAGAAAATCATACCAGAAGACAGCACTGTACGTCAGAAGATAGGAGAGAAATGCACTACCTCAATTTTCACTCTTTTAGGGTCTACTTTCCCTCTTCTCCCCGATTCTAAAGATGGCATTTACAGCAGAACTATAAAATGTTTTAAATTTATTGCTCCCCAAAGTATTACACTGGCAGTATTTCAGTACAGAATGAGAGAAGGGTTAGAAAAAGATACTGTGTATTAAATAAACAAATTCTTTTCTAACACTGAGATTTATACTGAATGCTGCAAAGATTAACATACATATGGAGAAATTAAGGGAGAATCTTAATTTTATCTAATTAAACTTTTTATTTTCCTTGGAAAGTTGGATTATGTTGAATATTATTGGTTTTTGATATAATGTGCACAAATATATGTATATATAAATCTAACAGAATTAAATTTTATAAAATAGTAGAAAACTCTATTATAAGATGAGTGTCAGTCATTAATTTGAAGGGTGGCATTGGAGGGTGGCATTAGAGTGAGGTTCCAAATGTAATTATATTTTTCATATGGTTGGTCTAGGAATTTTCTGTGTAACTGCTTCTTCAAAGTAAGTTTTTTTGCACATTCAAATTCCATGAGTCAAAACTAGACTTTTAGTCTTACATAAAGCCTAGATACTTCCTGGCACCACATTTATGATCTCCTGTAAACCTGGGGTTAGTAAAGGAAATAAGACAATTTGTAAAAAATGAAATAATCAGCAGTTTTTGATGTCATCCTGACTACAGTACTCTGGTGAAGGGTCATTGGAAACATTAAGCATTTGACAAGATATTTAAAGAGCCAGGGGAAAAAATAATTTTAAACCTATGAATGACATTTTAGACAAAGATTTACTACCATCGGATATATGTTGGGGAACTAGCCTTTGATGGCCTGTTCCCTGAAATAACAAAGCTGGTTACAAAAGAACAATGGGAGTACAGGGAATTGTTGATAGTGGAAACAAAACAGTATCATGAGAATTTTCCAGTCTATGGTGTAATGTTATCTAATGATAGTCTTTCTCACCATTCTTTCAATGAACTAACACTTCTGTGGGAAGGCTTGAGGTAGTTAAGGCATATGCTGAAATAATGAGGATTAGTTTTATTTGATAATATAACTGTTTGATGACAGAACTTTTTTTTTTTACAATTAGAGCTATGTGACTCTATAATAAATTAAAATGAATTCAAATGTTCTGGCTCAGGCTTCTTAGACAACTTGTGTGAATTTTCATCTAAAATAAATGCAGACAACAGATGACCAAATGTTAATTAATTTATTGATTCAAGAACACGTATATTGAGTGCCTGCTATATACCAGACACTATGCTACAGATGGGTACACAGTAATTGAAAAAATGACATATTGTCTGTCCTCAAATAATTTATAGTTTAGTCTAATTTATATAAATTCTTACATGGTCCTAAGAAATTTAACAGGTGTTCAGTGATGTAGACTGGTAACTGGAGAATGGAATATCAGGTTCCTCCTCAGACACCACCCGGCCAGGAATTGAATTGCTGCCTTTTACTTCTGCCGTGTCATGGGAGATTAGCTCACTCTAATTTGTCCTGCTGATACCATCTTTCAGAGAAATAAAAGCACTGCCTGTATTCTGTGGAGGGGGGAAGAGTAAGGAGAATGGGGGAGATAGAGCAGGTAATGCCAAAAAGGATTTCTGTTGTTAGACCACCCTTTCTGCTTGTTTCTTTGTTTTGCTTTGTTAGGGAGTACAGGCTTCTTTTTGGTCTTTTTTGTTTGTTTGTGTTTGTTGGTGGTTCCAGGTTGCAGGTCTTTGCAGTGTTCTGTGTGGGATATATGAAAAGCAATAAGAAAATCAGGGAACTCACTCTCACCACCATATTATTCATCAACACAGATGTCCCTGGTTTCTTTGCCTTGTTTCTTAATATTTCTATGCTCGTTTGTTGTTTTGTATTCAGAGGCTTTTAGCTGTAAAGAGTAGAGGAAAGAATGGAACTACTCCATCTTGTTGGAAACAGAAGTCTTGATACATGTTTTTAAGAAAAACTAATATAACTCCTGTCTAGAATTACAGAAATATTTTTGAGTCACTATATACAACTAGGACACTTGATAGATAAGGATCTAAGAATTTTTTTAGTATTTTGGATTTAGCAGCTGAGGAAACCATTTTATTTTGACTAAATTTTCCCATAGCAAATTAAAACAACCCATATTGGGGTTTGAATTTTTAAAACTCAAATTAAATGTTTTAATTTATTTTCTTTGTAAACAACAGCATTTGCCCTAACATTATATATACATCAAGAACAAAAGGCAAAAGAGTAAGTTTTCTTCAAAAGCATGTTTATTTTTTCTCCATCCTACTCTGTATCTTATTTCTATTGCCCCTAGAAGAGCAATAAACTTTCATAGATGACATAACAAACCCCAGCCCTTCTCAAGAGCTCATGGCACATAAGGACAATTGTAGGGCTACCATATACAACATTCTAAGGTGGAAGAAGTTCATTGAATGGCTCTGTGAAAATGCCATATCTTGAAGTGGTGTGCTTGAAATTTCTATAACTTCAATTTGATGTAGTTTGATACATGAAGCAATAGCTTGGAGCTTTGTCTATCAATTCAAGCCCAGGGTTAGAGTTATTTTCTCTTCCATCTATCTATGTATCTTCCTCACCCATCTTCTCTGTTTTCTGGACTCTCCACCTTGACAGTTTTCTTTGAAACAAATGTTCCATATCTGTGACTGTGTGTGTGTGTGTGTGTGTGTGTGTGTGTGTGTGTGTACATATACAGAAACCTAACATTTTTTATTATCTATTTTATAATTTATTAAGATTTTTGCTAATATCTTTATCATATTAGGCAGTATGCAGATCCTAACTTATATTTATCTATGTTTTAACTAATACAAATATACTTGCATTTTATTACTTTGATCTGCAAAAATCTAGTGTCATAAATAATATTTTTACAGCTCTTCTGAACCAGAAATGGAGGCAGACAGTATTATGAATAAAAAGCCTTTTCCCTTAACTCCTCCCTACCATGCACTTTGATGTCAATTACATTACAGGCATTTAACTAATGAAAACAAATATGCCTTAGTCTATTTATTTCTAATGTAAAAACAAATATAAAAACATAATAGATCTACAATTAATTTTATTCCATGTCATGATGATTTAATTCATGTCACCACTAAAAAAAATTCCTGTTAGAATAAATTTGTGAGTATAGGGTAGTAAAATAGAAAAATACATTTTCACATATGATTTGAGATTAGTGTTAGCACATCTGCTTTTTGTACAATTTTAATAAAATCAAATAGAAATTTCTTGTGCGTCCACATGGTGCAAATTACGTTTTGTCCAAGATTGCAAGCTAATCATTGGCCTAGTGGGATGTCAGACTCCAAGTTTTCTAACTGTAAATACTTCATGCTTATGTTTGAGTCATATAGGTCGTGGATATGCACTACAATTGGGTTATTTCTTGTATAAACATGATCCCTTTTACTTTGCTATTTCCAGTTTTTATTTAGCATTCATCACACACACACACACATTCAATCACACACACACACACACACACACACAGATATAGATTTAGATATGTACATACACAATCACATCAAGGCTTCTATTACTTTTTGCCACCATTGATTAGTACATGGCAACATACTTTTCCCAAGGTGCAAGGCAACTTCTGATCCTTTTCTAATCTTGGAAATCCCCTTTCAGAATGATTCTCAGTATTGCATTTCCTTAGAACCCTGTTTACTTGACGGATAATGGGTTGATCCCACAGATCATTCTCTGTAAACACATTAGGCAACTGATAGCTTACTTCTCCCAAGCAACCCAATGCGTTAATTTCAAAGATGATAATGCATTCATGTCTAGAGGGTCCTTAAGGAATAAGACTAATTAGTGAGAAATTCAAATATTGTATCAAGATGCCCGGAAGAAGAATGTTTTTTAGTGGCTGATCTTTTATTACCACTCAAATTATACCTATTTCACCTGAAATAGGTGTCCCTAAAATCATGACTAAAAATTAATTGGGAAATAATATGCCAGATCAAAGCTTACATTTCTGAGCAGTGTGAAGATCTTTTCTTGTTGTGCTGCTGAAAATCCACTTGGTATAGGATGACTTTGTCAGAAGTAAAAAAAAAATATATGAAGAGTAGGTATAAGAAAAATACCTACTTGTATTAACTGGAAAAAATAATATACTGGGTAAATGTTTATAATAAATGAATATAAAATATTCGAAAAGTATACCCTTTAAAACTATGTACAAGTGAGCTGTTATTAAAATTGCTGAAATATTTTCATTGGATTGAAAAGTATGAAGGTCAACAGTAACCTAAGAAAGAATAATCTTAGTCTTATGTTAGAAATAAAAGCCATATTTAGGGTACTGAGGAGTCCCTTGGAATTAAAGGAGACAAGTCTTGGGAAATTTAGCTGACAGTAGTATGTCTGTGTTGGGAAAATGGGGCTATGAGAAAGAAAAGTAGTTGAAATCTGTTTGATTTTAATGGGAGAGACTCTAAAATAATTAAAAAGAGGACTCAGTAGAGGGAGAGAAGAAAAGATATAAGAGAAACAGGGACTAGTAATGTAAGTTTCTGGAGAAAACCAAGGGAAAGAGAACCAGAACACAGATGGAAGAATAGTTTTTGTGTAGGAGGAAGACAAGAGGAGAGAGACGGGTGAGGACATATTTAGTGGCAGAACTATGAAGGCATTTTTTACCTAAGGATTTTGTTAAATCCAGAAGACAAAAAACTGAGTGTGTAGGAGAAAGAGGTATAATATTGTTCTCAGGCAAATTAGAGGAGTGATTTGGCCAGACAACTCTAGTAAATTATTTAGTACTGTTTAAGGCTCAGTTTAGTTTGGTGACTATGAACTTTTAGCGATGAAGATGTTCCATTAGCTGGGTGCGGTGGCTCACGCCTGTAATCCCAACACTTTGGGAGATGGAGGCAGGCAGATCACCTGAGGTAAGGAGTTCAAGACCAGCCTGGCAAACATGGCAAAACCCTATCTCTACTAAAAATACAAAAATTAGCCAGGCGTGGTGGCAGACACCTGTAATCCCCGCCACTTGGGAGGCTGAGGAAGGAGAATCGCTTGAAGCCAGGAGGCAGAGGTTGCAGTGAGCCGAGATCATGCCACTGCACTCCAGCCTGGGTGACAGAGAGTGACTCTGAAGAAAAAGAAAGAAAGAAAGAAAGAGAGAGAGAGAGAGAAAGAAAAAGAAAGAAAGAAAGAAAGAAAGAAAGAAAGAAAGAAAGAAAGAAAGAAAGAAAGAAAGAAGAAAAGAAAAAAGTAAAGAAAGAAAATTTTCCATTATGTGTTTTTACCAACATTTGGCTACCTGGGTCAGAGATTTTTCAGGTACATATAACAAATGACAGAGGAGGTTTAGGTACTGGCATGAGAGTAATTAAAATAACAAACCACAGCATCTGAAATAGAGAATAAAATGAAAACAAAAGAAGGATGATGGATACAAAATTAGGTCATTAGAATGCTAGTCCTGATAAGGGACAAGAATAATAATAGGAAGAGTTTAGAAAATAGCCTGGAAAGATAAATGTTGATCAAAGTAGGAGGTTTGAACTAGTGATTTAGTAACTACAGTAGTTCAGGATGATGACAACGTTCATGGTATGACAGTGAGAATGGTGGCTATTGAGTGGAGAAAAAGGCCATTAGAAATGAGAAGTTTAAAGAAACTGAGACTAAAGGGTGATTTATGTATTGTTAACCTGGATTTTGAAATTACTGAGAGTGTGTGAGGATTTGCATTAAAAAAGAATACACATGTTATGGGCTGAATTGTGTCTATTCTCAAAGTTGATATGTTAAATTCCTAAGCCCTAGTACCTCAGAGCGTGACTGCATTTGGAATTGGGTCTTTAAAGATGTAGTTAAGAAAAAATTAGGTCGTTAGAGTGACCTCTTATAAGAAGAGGAGATTAGGACACAGATACATACAGAGAAAAGACTATGTGAACCCATGTTAAAGAAAAAATATTCTGACACTTGTTAAAACACTAAGGTTTCAAGGTCATTGCACTAGGAAAGACAAGATTGAGCTCAATTTCAAATTTAAAAACAGTTGGTGATTTATAGCCAATCAGCAGACTGAAGGGGCCAGTGGATGGAAAATTACTAAAAGGCAATGCTAAGGAGATTCTTGCTAAACCAACTTAACAGGATTCTTTCTGAATGCAGGCCAAGAACTTAGACATTAAAGGTGGGGGATGTTGAACATGGTCTGATATCAAGGGTGGGGTATTATCTCTTAAATGACTAATCAGGATTCTTGCTAAAAGTACGTTATGCAAGCCTGACAAAAATTAAAAAGAAATTGGGCAAGCTCAAGGTCTAGCTGAAAAAAGGGGCTCAGAGGAATGTCACTAAAGTTTGGTCAAGGAGACTCTTTGTCAGACACAGAGATAAGACAGCAATCTACAAGCCAAGGAGAGAGAAACATCTCAGAAGAAACCTCCCCTACTGGTACTTTAATCTTGGACTTACAGCTTCCAGAATTGTGACAAAATAAATTTGTGGTTTTTTTTAAAGACATGAAGCCGGTGGCTGTTTGTTATGGCAACCCTAGCAAACTAATAAACTGTGATTCAGTAAATGAAGCAGAATAGCCAAGTGAACAGTGGATTGTGGTGACAGAGATGAGTAGAGAGAAATTACAGCCAGATGTCATGATATTAAAGTGACTGATGGAATACCATTCAGCCTTTAAAATGGAAGAAATTCTGTCATTTTTAACAATATGGATGAAATTTGGAGGTCATTATGCTAAATGAAATAAGCTAAACACAGAAAGAAACACCATATGTTTCCACTTATATGTGGAATCTAACACACCCAAACTCATAAAAGTAGAGATTAGAGTGGGGGTTGACGAAGGCGGAGGCTGGAGGGAATGAGATGGCAATCCAAGAGGACAAATACTCAATTAGATAGAAGGAATAAGCTTTATTTTTGTGGAGATCTGTTGCACAGCATAATGCATATAGTTGATATTTCAGTACTATACATTTCAATATTGCTTAGAGAGTAAATCTCAAATGTTCTTAGAATAAAATATGTCAAATATTTGAGGTTATGGATAGGTTCATTAGCTTTATTTAATAATTCCAGGTTGTATTAAAAAGTCATATCATCACCTTCTATCCCATAAATATATAAAACTATAATTTTTTTAATATATAATTTAAAAATTTTTTAAAAGTGGCTGAGGAAGTAGTAGATTACAAGTCATTACAAAGGCCATACAGATTCACCTGCCAACCAAAGTTTGATAATAATAATAATAACATCAACAATGACAATAAAAATAGCACCAAATAATTCTCTATTGATTCCTATATGCCAAGTATTGTTCTAATCACTTAATACACATTAACTCATTTAATACTCAAAACCCTCTTATTACCTCTATTTCATAATAAGAAAACTAAAGCATAGAAAGATTAAATCATTTCTCCAAGGTTATATCACTAGTCAGTCATAGGACTAATATTCAAGCCAAGACATTCAGAATCAATGCCTCTTCTCTGTCTGGACCAATATGCTACAATGTATACAGGATATGGATTTTTTAAAAAAGCCTCCCTTAGCTTTTGTCCAAAGTCACACATCTCATGAAAGGCAGACTCCAGATCCAACTAAATATTCTTCTTTCAATTTTGGTATTCATATTGGCATTCATATTTCGAACAAAAATTTTACTGAACAAATTGTGGTAACCTAGTCAATTGTGATTAATAGTGCCAGTTTGTTAATTCAATTATATAAAGGGAGATTTAACCTGTTGGACAAAAGTGGAAGTTTTAGAAATTACTTAGAAAAATATTAGGTTTAAGAATGTATCATTCACTCTTCTGACATAACATTATAGACCTAAGAATTTTATAATTTAATGGTTTTTTGTTGATATGGTTTGGCTGTGTCCCCACCCAAATCTCATCTTGAATTGTAACTTCCACAATTCCCATGGGCATGGGAGGAACCTGGTGGGAGGTGATTGAATTAAGGGGGCAGGTCTTTCCTGTTCTGTTCTCATGATAGTTAATGAGTCTCGTGAGATCTGATGATTTAAAAAGGGGAGTTTTCCTGCAAGCTCTCTTCTCTTGTCTGCTGCCATGTGAGAAGTGCCTTTCACCTTCCACCATGACTATGAGGCCTCACCAGCCATGTGGAACTGTAAGTCCAATAAACCTCTTTCTTTTGTAAATTGCCCAGTCTTGGGTATGTCTTTATTAGCAGCATGAAAACAAACTAATACAGAAAAATGCTACCACTAGAGTGGGGTTCTGCTGAAAAGATACCCAAAACTGTGAAAGCAACTTTGCAACTGGGTAACAGGCAGAGGTTGGAACAGTTTGAAGGACTCAGAAGAAGACAGGAAAATGTGGGAAAGTCTGGAACTTCCTAGAGACTTGTTGAATGGCCTTGACAAAAATTCTGATAGTGATATGAACAATAAGGTGCAGTCTGAGATGGTCTCAGATGGAGATGAGGAATTTGTTGGGAACTGGAGCAAAGGTGACTTGCTATGTTTTAGCAAAGAGACTGGTGGCATTTTGCCCCTGCCCTAGAGATTTATGGAACTTTGAACTTGAGAGAGGTAATTTAGGGAATCTGGCAGAAGAAGTTTGTAAGCAGCAAAGCATTCAAGAGGTGACTTGGGTGCTGTTAAAGGCATTCAGTTTTAAAAGGGAAAAAGAGCATGAGAGTTTGAGAAATTTGCAGCCTGACAAGGCGATAGAAAATAAAATCCCATTTTTTGAGGTGAAATTCAAGCCAGCTGCAGAAATTTTCATAAGTAATGAGGAACAGAATGTTAGTCCTCAAGATAATAAGGAAAATGTCTCCAAGGCATGTCAGAGGTCTGCGCAGAAGCCCCGCTTATCACAGGCCTGGAGGCCTAGGAGAAAATAGTGGTTTCGTGGGTGGGGCCCAGGGTCCCTGTGCTGTGTGTAGTCTAGGGACTTGGTGCCCTGCATCCCAGCCACTCCAGCCATGGCTGAAAGGGGCCAACATAGAGCTCAGGTTGTGGCTTCAGAAGGTGCAAGCCCCAAGCCTTGGCAGCTTGCACGTAGTGTTGAGCCTGTGAGTGCACAAAGTCAAGAATTGGGGTTTGGGAACCTTCACTTAGATTTCAGAAGATGTATGGAAATGCCTGGATGCCCAGGAAGAAGTTTGCTGCAGGGGTAAGACTCTCATGGAGAACCGCTGCTAGGGCAGTGCAGAAGGAAAATGTGTGGTTAGAGCCCCCAAAGATTCTCTACTGGGGCAGCACCTAGTAGAGCTGTGAGAAGAAGGCCACCGTCCTCCAGATCCCAAAATGGTAGACCCACCCACAGCTTGCACCGTGTGCCTGGAAAAGCTGCAGACACTCAACAGCAGCCTATGAAAGCAGCCGGGAGGGAGGCTACACCCTGCATAACCACAGTGGTGGAGCTGCCCAAGACCATGGGAACCCACATCTTGCATCAGTGTGACCTAGATGCGAGACATAGAGTCAAAGGAGATTGCTTTGAAACTTTAAGATTTGACTGCCCTGCTGGATTTCAGACTTCCATGGGGCCTGTAGCCCCTTTGTTTTGGCCAATTTATCCCATTTGGAATGGCTGCATTTACCCAATGTCTGTACCCACATTGTATCTAGGAAGTAATTAACTTGCTTTTGATTTTACACACTCATAGGCAGAAGGGACTTGCCTTGTTTCAGATGAGACTTTGGACTGTGGACTTTTGAGTTAATGCTGAAACAAGGTAAGACTTTGGGGTCTGTTGGGAAGGCATGATTGGTTTTTAAACGTGAGAACATGAGATTTGGGAGGGGCAGAAGTGGAATAATAAGCTTTGGCTTTGTCCCCACCTAAATCTCTTCTTGAATTGTAACTCATACAATTCCCATGGGTTGTGGGAATAACCCGGTGGGAGGTGGTTGAATTATGGGGGCAGGTCTTTCCTGTGCTGTTCTTGTGATATTGAATACATCTCAGGAGATCTGATGGTTTTAAAAAGAGGAGTTTCCCTTCACAAGCTGTCTTCTCTTGTCTGCCTCCATGTGAGACATGCCTTTCATCTTCTGCCGTGATTATGAGGCCTCCCCAGCCACATGGAACTGTAAGTCCCATAAAACTCTTTCTTTTGTAAATTGCCCAGTCTTGGGTATGTCTTTAACAGTAGCATGACTAATAATACATTTGTATTACTGACTAATACATTTGTATTGCCAAAGAGGGTGCCAAAGGAGAGGTCTCGAATTCAGTTCACTCAGGGAATAAACATTTATGTTTAGAAATGGTGATCTGAAGTGTGACCACATTATTTAAGCATAGGCGTCTCTAAGAGTAAAATCTGTCTCTGTGAAATTAATTAATTGCATTCACATTTTATGAAGACTTTAGCAATTTGATAACCCAACCTCTTAATTCCTTTAAGTAGTCTTCATGCACTGTGAAATGAGAGTCTGTTTTAGGGATTAAATAACTCAAAGGAGAAGAATATTCACTTGAGTACATACTAAAATGTTTAGTAGCAATGGGGAATCAAAATGTTTGATCATGGGTCAAAAAGTCTGTCACTATGTATCTTGGCACTCAGAGAGCAGGATAGTCTAGCCATATGTCCAATGGGCAAGGAACATAGCTCTAAATTTATTGGTTATTCCTGTTGCACCACCATTGTGAAGAGAATGAGATCAATGTGCCAGTAAGCTAGAGTTGTGAAAGCTTTCAGAATAATTCAGGAACAATATATCCACAGAAAATTTAAAAATCAAGTAAAAATGCTCGTGAAAAATTAATTTTCACTTTTCTTTACTGTTCACCATAAATAAGTCTATTCATTCAAGTACGCTGTAAAATTAGAGTAGGAGTCATAAGATTTTCTTCAATAAGAAGTTAATTTTGACTAGAAAAATATATAGGGAAATCTAAAAGTGAATATTCACAAAAGTATATTGAAGCCAAATAGTTTGGAATATATTTTGACAAATAATATTAGTTTCTCATAAGTTTCTTATCAGTTACATGCTTGGTTCTTAGCCATTTTTCAGGTAAGTAAATGGTTTAATTGAAATGACATCAAAAAGATAAGCAAATAAATGAAGTGTATTTATTCAACATTTAACTGTAAACAAGGTAGTCTTGGTATTAAAAGTATCAAATAAAATGTCTTATTTAATGTTTGGGATATATAAAATTTCAAAACTGGATTATACATTGGAATGAGTATTTTACATTATATTGCTAATTTACTTATCATAGTTTATACTATCCCTCCCCACAGATACACTTCTCCATCCTTACCTGCCAACAAACATATTTTTCAGCAATGGCTCTGTCACATCCACAGTTCCATAATTTCCTGAGATTGAAAGATAACATTTCATTGTTTGAGTAGATTGTGGATTCAATTTCCTGACAGGTGGATTTTAGCATTTTTCCTACTTCTATATTATGATATGCTTTCAGGACTAAATCCTATTAATTTCTTGCTCAGGAATGAATCATTTACCCTGTCATGAGAGTGGTCTGAAAAAGTTTGTGAAAATGAATTTTCACCAGAATGTACTTTCGTTCATAGAGATTGAATACACAGCCAATAATACACAATCAAAATATACATTAATACCTGGGATATTTTAAAAGTTTTAATACTTCTATATAAAGTTACTAAATATTTTCATCTCAGAGGTATTACTGCTTAGGCTCACTGGTATAACATAATTTATTTTAAAATTGATTTTAAACAACTTATTATTATTAGCTATATGTTATACACAGGTTAATAATTTATTCTAGGAAAATTAGCTCTAGTGTATCACAAATTTTTTTAAAGAATTATTTCTGGATGCACTGATCTCATAATTATTTTGCAATTTTAATAAAGAGTATATAGATTGCTAGTGACTTGTTCAGAGAGAATGCTATGTAAATTCCAAAGATATCACAAGAGTGAAAATTAGTCTGATGCTTTGAGAAATGTTTTCATACATTTGTAAGAACATGAAATAAACTTTAAAAATATCTGATCTTTTGATATGCCATACATCTTTAAATTTCTTTCAAAAACTCAAAATTTATTTTAAATGTTTTGCATATATTGAAAGCTACCAAGAAATGATAAGTAATTATTTGGACTTTAAATATCAAGATAAACCATTATGACAAGGTAACTGTCTTCATGGATCTTAGAATCTATATTGAGAGAAAATTACACATGTAAGCCAATTTAACTATAGAAATAAGGAATAACGTGACGTTAATAATATACTGCAAAGATGATAGTTTTTTCAATAATCAAAATACCTGTAAAAATTTTTACAAAACAACAAACAGGACTAACGAAGAAACAAGGAAGATAATAAATTGGATTTTATAACTTGATTAATAAAATTTCAAGAAAATGGATTGGTTATAATTAGAACACAATTTTTGTTTGTGTTTGGAAACCTCAAACTCATTCAGGGTCATGGCTGACCATTTCTTCAAAACAAATTGCGAGTACTTTTTTTTTTTCATTTTGCCCTGGCTCCCTATATATGGATATGTAATTAGCTGTTAACATTATTTCTGGATAGCCAACCAGGACCCAGAAGTACTCCCTATGCATTATTTGACTCTCCGTTACTCACCAGGATTGTCGACTGAGCTGATTTATTCAACTATATAAGTGACCCCCTTTCCTTCCTCTTCATATTATTCGCTCAAAAATAATATCCTTTCTTGAAAACATGGAATCTTTTCAGGAAGGATGTACATGCATTAGAAATTTGTTTTCCCTGTCAAGTCTCAAAAAACTTAGCAAGGTTGATTTAGGGGAGTAACAGACCAGTTGTGGACTCTAAGTTGTGTTCTTATTCTAAAATATACAGGACAACTGGCCATTCACTTACTAATCTTATTTCCAAGTTTTGGGGGAAGGTAGTGAAGGGCACTTTAAGATGAATATAATTCATACGAGCTAGTGAGTATGCTGGATAAGGTTCAAAAGACTTTTTAATGGACTCAAAATCAATGCTGTTATTTTAATAACTTATATATAGCTTTTATCTATTTACCTAGTCAGAGAGATTGCTAAAAATTTAAGATACATATATAAAATATTTAATTATGATGACAAAGAATTATATGTATGGTTTCTCAGAATTTTTCTTGTACCAGAAATCCATTTTTGAGAGAGCATGAAAACAAACAGATAAAGCCTCCCAAGTCCCCCCTACCCCCGCAACCCCTGCCACCCCCAGGGAGAAGGGGAAGCTTGATAGATTATTGGAGAAATCCACATGTCTTCCCTTTACCTTCCCAGTTTCTAACTTAGAAAATCTTGACCTGCTTCACATATAGGAACCTCTGCTTCTGATATATAGTCTGTCCCGTCACATTCACCCCTTAGTTGCCAAACTAATGTTTAAACACAGCGGTTCTGTTACAGTTAGACAGGCATGAGTGGGGAAGAAGAGGGTTCTTGCCACCCATCCATCAGGAATGTCAGGCAATCTAATAGGGTGATGGTTTGACAATTATCACATTGCCTTTCCAAAAATGATAATTTAGCAGCTAGTGCCAGGGAGATACAATGTCCTGCTGATCCAAAGCTGTTAACACATGTGGGTTCCCACAATTAAAGTATTAATTGAATGCACGTGACAGGGAGAAGCAAAAAGGCTTTCCAATAAAATCTCAGGTATTGGGCAAGTGAGTCCGGGCATGCACATTAAGAGACAAAATGTCCGAGTATGATCTTCCGGGGGCACTCCACCAGAAAAGGGAAACTTCAGATCGGCATGTGTACAACTCCCTAAACACACCAAGCGTGCTCACCTCCCAAGGGTAAGGAGGGTACCGTGCATGCTGACAGCCCTCCCTAAGGGAAGAATCATGGGAAAGGGGACAGCCCATAGAGTCCTAGAATCAAGGATAAACACTAGACTTGACCTTCACGTACCGGCTTGGGTTTCTTCCAAGCATATTTTCTTTCCTTTTCTGTTTTAAGCCTTTTTAAACAAACTTCCACTTCTGCTCTCAAATTTGCCCCAGTCTCTTTTTCAGCCTTATACCCCTCAGCCTAATTGTATCTTCTGAAGAGTCAAGAATTGACGTTACTGCAGATCCATACGGATTTGCCACCGGTAACTTGGATACCTTCTATCTGGAACAGTTCTATGATGGCAACCATTCATGTCCTCACACTAGAGAAACTACAAAGCTTCTTATAACCTGTCTCACTGTATCTCAAACACTTCCACTTGTTTCTTAAATCTTTGTCACCCTCACCGTTCCCATATAACCTTGTGTTAGTTTTATACACAGTGCTTTGAATTTTTCCTGTTTGCTTGTCTCTATCTCTCAATAGACTGAAGATTTTTGAAGTCAAAGTCGATCTTATTTACCACTATACCTCCAACACCAATACTGTGTCTAGCACATAGTAACAAAAAGAAATACTAAAAAGATCAATGTTGAGAAGCCAAATTCTTCAAGAAGTTGAGAAGCTAACTTCTTCAACAATATTTCACTTTTTTTCCCCGAAGATTAGAGTTTTACTTCGGTGATATCCACTGGTCCACAACATTCCACATGTGCCTTGCTAACTTGCATCTCTATGTCCTTCCTCAAAGATATGGGAACTCTCTCTTTATTCCTCTACATGGTTAAATCCTACCTGCCTTTCTAAAGACTATGTCTAACCTCATATCACATGTCTTTCACAAAGGCTCCTCAAAATACTCAAAACCCAAAATAAAAGTAAATGTCATGCAATTTAGCAAATGAGGTGCTTTATGAAATTTATGGTATTGTGAAAAGGATAATTATAATAATGTGCATTAGGGGCTGTGATCGGAAAAGTATGTGTTGCTATTCTATACAAGCATGAATCCAGAACACCTAACATACAATGTGCCGGGGCCAGAGGGAAGCAGTGTTTAGGCAAGATTTGTGGCAGTAAATGTCATTTAGGTTAGAGACCTGAAAAAGAGGAGGTTGAGGTTAAGAGGAACAACTTTAAGCCTTGGGAACTTTCTGTTTCAAAGGTTAGAAGTGAGAAGGAGCAGGGCACTTTTGAGGCACTGTGAGAACTTAAAATGGTTGAAGGGTAGGTCATCTGACTATAATAGAAGATGAGCAGTCAGAATTTCATTCAATTTTAAATGAAACTGAAGCATTGTTACACAAATTAATAATTGATCTATACAAGTTATTATCATTTGGAGGTGCATCCTCAATTATGTTGTTATGGGATCTCTGGAGTGTCGATTTTTTCTGGCCAGAAACATCTGTGGTGGTGGCACCTTTGCCCAAGTTCTCATCCTGTGTCCAGGAAGAATGTGATACACAGACAAGTGAAGGGTGAAGAAGAAGAGTTTTATTTAGTGTTAGAACAGCTCAATGGAGTGGGAAGCTCCTCTCTGTAGGTCGGTCGTCCATTGAGTGTCAGCTCTCAGCAGAGAGGAGGCCCTGGAGAGGGTGGCTCCTCTCCACAGGCAAGTCATTCAGACATCTCTGCAGGTCTCTGAAGCCCTTGGCAGAGAGGGTACCTCCTCTCTGCTGGCAGATCATCTCTGCAGCTCTCAGCGGAAAGGGTACTACTCTATGCAGCTGGCTGTCCCATCATCTCCAGCTATCAGCAGTGAAAGTACTCCTCTCTGCAGCTGGTCCTCTCATCGTCTCTCTGCCCTCTTTGTCCTCTGGCCATCCTTTGCCCTGCTCTGGCTGAGCCCAGGGCTTTTATGGACATCAGAGGCAAGGAAATGCATGCTGACTGGTCCATGGGCAACCATGGGTTGGCCCCAAAGAGGCACTATGAGTCCCCACTGTGGTCCGCGGGACTGGCAGCCTTGTCCCTAGCCTTCAGGCCCTCCCTGACCCAAATATGGGGCCTTACTGGGGATCCGCCTTCTGCCCAGGAATCAATTTGCCTCCAGCCTCCATTCATGGATCCTGGGCTCGGCCCCAACCCTCACTGTGAGATCAGAGCAGGTGCTGAGAGTGGAGAGAGGTGAGACAGACACCCCCAAGCCTGCAGAGACATGGGGGTCCTTCCTGTGGCTCCCAAGAGTGCATGCTGCAGAGACACCTGGCTGCTGCTGTTGGGAGGGTGGCTGCAGCCACACCTGGAAAGGCAGATCCTGCCTGCTCCTGGCCCTCCCCCAAGAGCACAAGGAGGCTGGGATGCACAGCTGCAGTTTGGGTGGCTGTAGCCCCGCCCAGGAGGGTGGAGCCACTGCCATCAATATTATTATTTGAGGCTGTCTCAAAGTACTGGGAAACAGCTACTGGAAGGAACCAGAGCTTTAGAGTCAGACTAAGGCAGTTGAGTTACCTTAGGGAAACTTCTTATCTTATCAGTAAAATCAAGACATTAGTATTTACATCACAAGAATGTTGAAAGACTATTGTTTTATTCATTATACTGTTCCCAGTGCCTGGTACATACATAGACATTTTATAAATGTTTCTTAAATTAATGTTAAATTTGTTTTTCTTTGTTGCTTTTCAAATTGACTTCTGGAGACAAACTAAGAATTATACAATCTTTAAAGCTGCTGTTAATATATTTTCAGTTATGCAGAAGTGTCCAAGGTCATTTGATTGCATATATATGACAAATTCCACTCTTTTTCTGCCTTTGAATAGTAAGCAGTTTGTTAAGCTAGCAAATTTTTATTACATTGTAATGGCAGGGTATTGTTTAAGATAACCATGGTACTGAGACTGAAGCCCTGTCTACGTTTTAATAGCATTAACTATCCAAGCCATTTTCTTATCTCCAGACTATAATGTCTTAGGGATCTTATATTTTATATGTATTTTGTCTGTTTCTTCACGTAGTGCTACTGTCACTGTTGTGTTAAGGCAATATACCTGTTTATTTTATTTACAACATCATTCAGCTTTGTTCTTCTGTTTTTCCTGCGTATGTTTGAAAGCAAGAAGAGCTTTAAATATTGTTCATTAAAATGCTTGTCAATAGGGTTCATGTGTAATGTTTCTAGCTGTATATATTTAACAACATTTGAGTTCTATTTTAAATTATTCCACTTATCTCACGCTCACATTATATACTGTCTTTTGTCCTGAAGAACTTTTAAAAAAATTAGGAAGTTACGTTATTACAGTCTCTAAATGTGAAACTCATTGTTGAACAAAATAAAATTACCATAGAGTATTGCATGAAACTTGCAATAATGGGAAAAGTTTATTGAAGTTTAGAACTGCACCTAAACCATAAAGCAACCAACTGCTGACCTATGCAAGTAATTTCCTCACAAATAGTACTCAAAGGTAAACTTCCCTTCAAGATACTATTTCCGGCTGGGTACAGTGGCTCATGCCTGTAATTCCAGCACTTTGGGATGCCAAGGCGGGTGGATCACTTGAGGTCAGGAGTTCGAGACCAGACTGGGCAACATGATGAAACCCTGACTCTACTAAAAATACAAAACAATTCGCCGGGCCTGGTGGCACACCCCTATAATCCCATCTACTCAGGAGACTGAGGCAGGAGAATCGCTTGACCCAGGGAAGCAGAGGTTGCAGTGAGCCAAGATCGTGCCACTGCACTCTAGCCTAGGTGACAGAGAGAGACTCCATCTCAAAAAAAGAAGATACTATTTTCATGGGCTTTAAGTTGCAAGAACATGCCTATTGCAACTTAGAATTCAATTTTCCACCAACTCATTTTTGGCTGGCCTACAATTTCTTTGCCAAACCAGTCTAGGCACAATATGAGATATACAACTGTAAACACACACATTCACACAATGTTATTTTCTTTTATTAACTAAGGTGTATAAATAAAGCCTAAAGGAGATCCTATGAAAACTCCCAAAATACTCAAAATGGAGGCTATAAAGAGGTAGATATTTCTGTTCAACTTTATGTCACAATTTATTTAACTAACCCAAATAACTCAGATAATCCAATTCAGAGCCTTCATTATTGAGCTAAATAATTTATTATATGTTAATTAATATGCCTAGATATGGAAAGCAGGAAGTTCAAGTAAGACGTATATATAGAGAGAGCAACATGGGGATTAACACTACTTCACTTGAAGTAAATAGTTTCAGTGGAATAACAAGAATAATTTGAATCTCAGTGAATTTGAAAGGAGTTAGTTAGCTTGCCTTAGGTAGATAGCAAGGGAAGGGTCCCTGGAGACCCCCCGGTCCATGGGTCAGTGCCTCATCCCCACATGACATACAAAGCAGTCTGGGGAAGAATTCAGGCTGCAGGCACAGATAAGGGAACTCGCACAGGGTTTTGTGCCTAGAGACAGGCTCACAGCTGCACAGATAGAAAAACCTCAGGACCATTTGGATAAAAACTTGCACAAACCTCCAGTTCACTCAGATAAGTGAACAAGGCCTGGCATAGAAATGCCTATGGCCTTTGTATAGTCTGCATGTTCCCAAGAAAAGTTTCTTCTCCTTTTGTGGGCATGGGCACAGTGGGTTCTTTCCTTTTTGACTGTGTGTCCGGCCTCCATGAATCACCATTTCAACCCACGGTTGGTCCTTGGACAAGATCCAAGGTCAAGCTTTCACTTCAACTACTGACAGATCCTGGGCCAAGCTTAGCAGCCTCTATGAATCATCACTTCAGCCCCTGATTGGTCCCGGGCCAAGGCCCTGGGCCATGCTAAGTTACACATTCTCCAAGACAGCCCGCAGACTAAGCACATTCCTTCCCCTTCCCAGTCCATAAAATCCCTGGACCTCAGCCTCATAGGCGGCACTCCATTCAGGCCCCCCTCTCTGCTGGCAGAGAGCTTTCTTCTTTCACTTATTAAACATTCACTCTAACCTCACCTTTGTGTCCACACTCTTTAATTTTCTTGGAGGTAGAAGAAAAAACTCTGGGCGTTATCTCAGACAACAAGAGACTGTTACATCTTGTTACATTGCTGAGACTACAAAAAATTAAGGAGTAAATAAAAGTTGAAGTGGTTGAGACAACATCTTTTATGATTTTCTTATTAATTTGGCTTTGAAAGTGAAGAAAGAGAGGGACAATGATAAATCCATATATCACACAACCTTGTGTCTCATTTCGGTGTCCAATTCATAAGGAATGCTAAGTAAATACATGTTAATTTACCCTTATGGGAAATTAAATGTATTTTAAAACTTATTAACAGTAACTAGAAGTCATTTACTCAACAGACTATGATAGCGATTATAGCTCTCAAAAATAAGTAAAATATCCCTGCTCTAAGTAGTTACCTGGAAGAGAATAGCAATCAGTGAGAGAGTATTAGGTCTTCAGCAGCAGGATAAAACACATTTTACACATGTATTAGTCCGTGTTCACGCTGCTGATAAACACATACACGAGACTGAGAAAAGAGGTTTAATTGGACTTACAGTTCCACATGGCTGGGGAGGCCAAAATCACAGCGGGAGGCGAAAGGCACTTCTCACATGGTGATAGCAAGAGAAAATGAGGAATATGCAAAAGCAGAAAGCCCTGATAAAACCATCAGATCTCATGAGACTTATTCACTACCATGAGAATAGTATGAGAGAAACTGCTCCCATAATTCAAATTATCTCCCACCGGATCCCTCCCACAACATGTGGGAATTATGGGAGTACAAATCAAGATGAGATTTGGGTGGGAACACAGAGTCAAATCATATCAAGACACTATCAGCAGTTCAGTCACAACCATCCAACAAGTTTCTAAGAAGTTCCAAAACTTCCCTCATCTTTCTGTTTTCTGAGCTCCCCAAGCTGTTCCAGCCTCTCCCAGTTACCCAGTTCCAAAATCTCTTCCACATTTTCAGGTATTTTTTATAGCAATGCCCCACCTCTCTGGTACCAATTTTCTGTATTAGTCCATTCTCACACTACTACTATAAAAAACTACCTGAGACAGGTAATTTATGAAGAAAAGAGGTTTAATTGACTCACAGTTCTGCGGGCTATACAGGAAGCATGGCTGGGGGTCCTCAGGAAACTTAGAATCATGGCAAAAGGGGAAAGGGGAAGCAAACGCATCTTCAAATGGTGGCACAAGAGAGAGTGAGCAAAAGGGGAACTTCCAAACACTTTTAAACCATCCTATCTCATGAAAATTCACTCACTATCATGGGAACACCAAGAGGAAAATCCACCCCAATAATGCAATCACCTCCCACCAGGTCCCTACCCCCAACATTGAGAATT
The DNA here is from genome assembly GCF_000001405.40 of Homo sapiens. Taxonomy (NCBI): domain Eukaryota; kingdom Metazoa; phylum Chordata; class Mammalia; order Primates; family Hominidae; genus Homo; species Homo sapiens. Next base: position 87,411,253 of record NC_000023.11, read on the forward strand.
ACAATTCAACATGAGATTTGGGGGGAGACTCAAAGCCAAACCATGTCATATATATACATATATTATATGGGAGGGGGGATTTATTTTAAAGTATTGGCACACATGATTGTGGTGGCTGGCAAGTTCAAAATCTGTGGAACCGTCTGGTACATGAGACCTAGAAAAAAAAGTTGCTATTACAACATGAGGTCAAAGGTAAAAGGTACAATTTCTTATTTAGACTCATCAAAGTATGATTAGTTTATTAAAATTATTTCAGGTAACCTCACCACATACACACAAAAAGTAACTGTGTGAAGAAATGGATATGCAAATTTGCTTAACTGTAGTATTTATTTCACTATAAATGTATATCAAAACATCATTTTATAACTTTTTTATTTAAAAAGAATTTGCAAAAATTATTTTATTAAGTTGAATCATATTAAATTGCTAATATTTGACTGTGTTTAACCTACAAAAATGCCATTTCATATTGTTCAATCTTACACTTACCAGGGATTTTCATAACTCCTACTGTGGTATGTGTAATATGTACTTGGATTTCTAGCAGCATTATTTATCTTTAAAAATGGGTGATCTTGATTAAAAAACTAACAGATATCTGTTATAATTCTTCTCAGAAAGTATCTGATAAGTTTGGATACTTATCAGACTCTGCCAATGGCCTACTTTAGTTTCATTTTTAAGATATTATGCAAACCATCTGCAATCATCCAAAATATATAAAACTAAAACGACTGAGCAAAAGGCAAAGCTGATAACTTCAGTAACATATTGTGGAGCACTTCTAGAGGATTTGTCAGTATGAGTACTCAGAAGTGCCAAGCTTTCTACTTTTTTTAATGTTCAGTAATGTTTGATTATTATCTATGGTCAATAGGCAACATTTGTTTTCAATTATTTAGACCCAAATAATGGGTCTAAAGAATTTTCTTTGTGTATGCTTGTATGTTTTATCGAAACATAAAGTATATTCTTATGTTATGAAAAAATGTATTAAACTTTTATTTTTATTTTTCATACTAGAAAATATATGTTAGAGAATAGATGCTAAAAAAGGAGGTCACAGCCATCTAGTAAATACTGTTGGACGAACCTTGCCAAAAGAACAGTTTGAACAGAAGAAATAAAGTGGTAACTAGGAAAAGAAGAGAATGCTTTTCTAAGGAAGACCATAAGTTATCTACTTTGAGATCCTTTCAGTTTTAAGATACATTGTTGAGTTAATAACAGCTTTAATTGCAGAAAAAAGGTAACACTATACTAAACACATACATCTATTATATAATGTATCTTTTTTCTAGAAATATTGAAATGTGAAAGAAGTGTGCTCTTAGAATGAAAGAAATATGGTGCTTTTTGAGGCCTAGTTGGGAATTTTTCCAGAAGCTTGCAAGAGTGAGAAACACCAATGTACAGCAAGCGTTCAATGCAAGATGTACCATGGATATTTGTAAGGAAAAGATCATAAATCCTTTCTTTTTGTTGTTGTTGTTGTTTTGTTATTATTATACTTTAAGTTTTAGGGTACATGTGCACAATGTGCAGGTTTGTTACACATGTATACATGTGCCATGTTGGGGTGCTGCACCCATTAACTCGTCATTTAACATTAGGTATATCTCCTAATGCTATCCCTCCCCCTTCCTCCCACCCCACAACAGGCCCCGGAGTGTGATGTTCCCCTTCCTCTGTCCATGTGTTCTCATTGTTCAATTCCCACCTATGAGTGAGAACATGCGGTGTTTGGTTTTTTGTCCTTGCGATAGTTTGCTGAGAATGATGGTTTCCAGCTTCATCCATGTCCCTACAAAGGACATGAACTCATCATTTTTTATGGCTGCGTAGTATTCCATGGTGTATATGTGCCACATTTTCTTAATCCAGTCTATCATTGTTGGACATTTGGGTTGGTTCCAAGTCTTTGCTATTGTGAATAGTGCCACAATAAACATACATGTGCATGTGTCTTTATAGCAGCATGATTTATAATCCTTTGGGTATATATCCAGTAATGGGATGGCTGGGTCAAATGGTATTTCTAGTTCTAGATCCCTGAGGAATCGCCACACTGACTTCCACAATGGTTGAACTAGTTTACAGTCCCACCAACAGTGTAAAAGTGTTCCTATTTCTCCACATCCTCTCTAGCACCTGTTGTTCCCTGACTTTTTAATGATCAGCATTCTAACTGGTGTGAGATGGTATCTCACTGTGGTTTTGATTTGCATTTCTCTGATGGCCAGTGATAATGAGCATTTTTTCACGTGTCTTTTGGCTGCATAAATGTCTTCTTTTGAGAAATGTCTGTTCATATCCTTTGCCCACTTGTTGATGGGGTTGTTTGTTTTTCTCTTGTAAATTTGTTTGTGTTCATTGTAGATTCTGGATATCAAACTTTTGTCAGATGAGTAGATTGCAAAAATTTTCTCCCATTCTGTGGGTTGTCTGTTCACTCTGATGGTAGTTTCTTTTGCTGTGCAGAAGCTCTTTAGTTTAATTAGATCCCAATTTGTCAATTTTGGCTTTTGTTGCCATTGCTTTTGGTGTTTTAGACATGAAGTCCTTGACCATGCCTATTTCCTGAATGGTATTGCCTAAGTTTTCTTCTAGGGTTTTTATGGTTTTAGGTCTAACATTTAAGTCTTTAAGCCATCTTGAATTAATTTTTGTGTAAGGTGTAAGGAAGGGATCCAGTTTCAGCTTTCTCCATATGGCTAGCCAGTTTTCCCAGCACCATTTATTAAATAGGGAATCCTTTCCCCATTGCTTGTTTTTCTCAGGTTTGTCGAAGATCAGATAGTTGTAGATATGCGGCGTTATTTCTGAGGGCTCTGTTCTGTTCCATTGGTCTATATCTCTGTTTTGGTACCAGTACCATGCTATTTTGGTTACTGTAGCCTTGTAGTATAGTTTGAAGTCAGGTAGTGTGATGCCTCCAGCTTTGTTCTTTTGGCTTAGGATTGACTTGGCGATGCAGGCTCTTTTTTGGTTCCATATGAACTTTAGAGTAGTTTCTTCCAATTCTGTGAAGAAAGTCATTGGTAGCTTGATGGTGATGGCATTGAAACTATAAATTACCTTGGGCAGTATGGCCATTTTTATGATATTGATTCTTCCTACTCATGAGCATGGAATGTTCTTCCATTTGTTTGTATCCTCTTTTATTTCATTGAACAGTGGTTTGTAGTTCTCCTTGAAGAGGTCCTTCACATCCCTCGTAAGTTGGATTCCTAGGTATTTTATTCTCTTTGAAGCAATTGTTAATGGTTGTTCACTCATGATTTGGCTCTCCGTTTGTCTTTTATTGGTGTATAAGAATGCTTGTGATTTTTGTACATTGATTTTGTATCCTGAGACTTTGCTGAAGTTGCTTATCAGCTTAAGGAGGTTTCGGGCTGAGACAATGGGGTTTTCTAGATATACAGTCATGTCATCTGCAAACAGGGACAGTTTAACTTCCTCTTTTCCTAATTGAATACCCTTTATTTCCTTCACCTGCCTGATTGCCCTGGCCAGAACTTCCAACACTATGTTGAATAGGAGTGGTGAGAGAGGGCATCATAAATCCTTTCAATGTTTTAACTGATACCACTGGCATTAAGTGCAAAGCAGTATTTTTTAGCCAGGCACGGTGGCTCATGCCTGTAGTCCCAGCCCTTTGGGAGGCCAAGGTGGGCGGATCACTTTAAGTCAGGAGTTCGAGACCAGTCTGGCCAACCTGGCAAAACCCCATTTCTACTAAAAGTACAAAAATTAGCCAGATGTTGTGGCAGGCACCTGTAATCCCAGCCACTCAGGAGGCTGGGACAGGAGAATCACTTGAGCCTGGAAGGCAGAGGTTGCAGTGAGCCAAGATCGCACCACTGCATTCCAGCCTGGGTGATAGAGCAAGACTCTGCCTTAAAAACAAACAAACAAACAACATCAACAACAAAAACTATTTTTTGCTACAGTTGTTTTTACTTCAGGTCATACATACATTTTCATATTTGATATTGATATATTTAATAATTTACATACATCTTGAGAAAAAGAAGTTTAGATTATCATGATGTGCCCACATTAGGTAATAATAACAAAAGGACTAATTTAATATCTATGAAGAGATAATTCTGTTTTCCAGGCCCCATAAGGAGAGAGGCTGCCTATAGGTGGATCACAAAGCCTCACAGGGTTCAAGTCTGTGGATTTAGGTTTATGCTAGAAAATGTCCGAAAAATGGTTAATTTCCCATCAAGACATAACCTTTATATAGATATAGATATGTTTATACACACACAAACACACACATAAATAGTAGAGTTTATTTTTGTAAATTTCAGTATCTATTTTAGATACATTAGATACATAGGCAGATTTGTTACATGGGAATATTGTATGATACTGAGGATTGAGGTATGGATCCCATTACACAAGTAGTGAGCATAGTACCTGATAGGTAGGTTTTTAGCTCGTGTTCTCCTCCTTTCCTCCCCATCCAGGTAGTATGAAGTGTCTATTATTCCCATGTTTATGTCCAAACCTACTCAGTATTTAACTCTCACTTATAAATGAAAATATGAGGTATCTGGTTTTCTCTTCCTGTGTTAATTCATTTAGGATTATGGCCTCCAACTGCATCCATTTTGCTGCAAAGGACATGAGTTTGTTCTTTCTATGTCTGCATAGTATTCCATGATGTATATGTACATTTTCTTTATTCAATCTACCATTGATGGGCACATAGTTTAATTCCATGTCTTTACTATTGTAAATAGTGAAGCAATGAACAAATAAGTGCATGTGTCTTTTGGGTAGAATTACTGATTTTCGTTTGTGTTTATACACAGTGATGGGATGCCTGGGTCAAATGATAGCTCTGTTTCAAGCTCTTTGAGAAATATCCAGACTGCTTTCCACAGTGGCAGGACTAATTTACACCCTCACCAAAAGTGTATAAAGATTTCTCCACAGCCTCACCAGCATCTATACTTTTTTTTAAACTTTTTAATAATAGCCATTGTGACTGGTATGAGATGGTATCTCATTGTAGTTTTGATTTGCACTTCTCTGATAATTAATGATGTTTAGCATTTTTCATATGTTTGTTGGCCACTTGTATGTCTTCTTTTGAGAAATGTATGTTTATGTCCTTTGCCCATTTTTAAACTGGGTTACTTGTCTTTTGCTTATTGATTTAAGTTCCCTATAGATTCCGGATGTATTAGTTTGTTCTCACACTGCTAATAAAAACATACCTGAGACTGGGTAATTTATAAAGGAAAAAGGTTTAATTGATTCACAGTTCCACATGGCTGGAGAAGCCTCACAATTATGACAGAAGAGCAAGGGACGTCTTACACGGTGGCCAGCAAGAGAGAGCATATTCAGGGGAACTCCTCTTTATAAAACTATCAGATCTCCTGACATTTATTCACTATCACGAGAACAGCATGGGAAAACCTGCCCTGATGATTCCATTACCTCACACCACATCCCTCCCACGACATGTGAGAATTATGGGAGCTACAATGCAAGATGAGATTTGGATGAGGACACAGCCAAACCATATCACTCGATATTATGCCTTTGTTAGATGCATAGTTTGTGAATACCTCTCATTCTGTAGGTTATTTATTTACTCTGTTATTAGTTTCTTTGGCTGTGCAGAAGCTTTTTAGTTTAATTAGTCCCCAATTGTCCACTTTTGTTTTTGTTGCAATTGCTTTTAGACAAAAATTATTTGCTAAGACTGATGTTGTGAAGAGTGCTCCTTATATTGTCTCTTAGGATTTTTATAGTTTGAGGTTTTATACTTAAGTCTTAGATCCATTTCTAGTTAATAAATATTTGTATATGGTGAAAGGTTCAATGTTCTGCATATGGCTATCCATTTATCCCAACACCATTTATTGAACAGGGAGTCCTTTCCCCATTGCTTGTTTTTGTCAGCCTTGTCAAAAGATCAAATGGTTGTAGGTGTTCAGCCTTATTTCTGGGCTGTTTATTCTGTTCCATGGGTCTGTGTGTCTGCTTACTGTGTAAACAGTGTTGTACCATTACCATTCTGTTTTGGTTACTAGCAGTATGGTTTGAAGTCAGGTAATGTGATGCCTCCTGCTTTTTTTGTTTTGTTTTGTTTTGTTTTTGTTTTTGTTTTTTTTGTTTGTTTTGTTTTGTTTTTTGCTTAGGATTGCTTTGGCTATTGGTGCTCTTATTTGCTTTTCCATGAATTTTAGAATAGTTTTTGTCTAATCTGTTAAAAATGACATTGGTATTTTGATAGGAATGACATTGAATCTGTAGACTGCTTTGGGAAGTATGGCCATTTTTATGACACTGATTATTCCAATCCATGAGTGTGGAATATGTTTTCACTTATGTGCATCATCTCAGATTTCTTTGAACAGTGTTTTGTAGTTCTCCTTGTAGAGATCATTCACCTCCTTGGTTAGCTCTTTTCCTAGATTTTCTTTGTGGGTAATGTAAGTGTGATTATGTTCTCAATTTCACTCCCAGCCACGATGTTGTTGGTGGATAGAAATGCTACTAATTTTTGTACATTAATTTTGTATCCTGAAACTTTGCTAACATCGTTTATCAGCTCTAGGAACCTTTTGGCAGAGTCTTTAGAATTTTCTACATATAAATTCATTTAATCAGTGAAGATAGGTAATTTGACTTCTTTTTCTATTTGAATGCCTTTTATTTCTTTCTCTTGCCTGATTGCTCTGCCTAAGGCTTCTGGTATTATGCTGAATAGGAGTAATGAGAGTGGGAATCCTTGTCTTATTCCAGTTCTCAAGGGGCATTATTTAATTTTGCCCATTTAGTATGATGTTGGCTGTTGGCACACCATCACCCAAGAAGAATACACTGTACCCAATTTGTAGTATTTTATCCCTCACTCACCTCCCACCTTTTCTCTTGAGTTCCCAAAGTCCATTGTATCAGTCTTCTGCCTTTGCATCCTCATACTTCCCACTTACGAGTGAGAATATACGATGTTTGGTTTTCCATTCCTGAGTTACTTCACTCAGAATGATAGCCTCCAATGCCATCCAGGTTGCTGTGAATGCCATTAATTCATTTCTTTTTATGGATGAGTTGTGTTCTATCATATATATACACCACAGTTTATCCACTTGATATCTACTCAGAGGAAAATATGTCATTATATGAAAAAGATACTTGCACATGCATGTTTATAGCAGCACAATTTGCAATAGCAAAATCATGGAACCAGCTCAAATGTCCATCAATCAATGAAACTACATCTTTAGAAATGATAGTATGTTAGACCTGAAAGTGCCATTTGGGTTATCTAATTCCATGTAATACGCCATCCCAAAATAGTGACTTTAACAAATTATCTCTGACAGTTCTGTGAGTGGACTGAGCTCATCTTGACAATGTTCACTTGGATTCTTTGATATTGTAATCAGATTGCAGCTGAGGTTAAAGTCATCTGTTCAGAAACTGAAAGACTTCTTTACAGCCTAGGCTCTGGACATTCAGAATCTCACATGCACCACAATAAAGCCAACTCATGTACAATAATGTGAAAAACCTGTATCTGCCAGTAAGCACATAACAGCTTCCTTATACTGTGCATTGTGATGTTTCTGATGAGATAACTGTGATAATAACAAGTATTGAGTTATTTACATTTTGTACTAAAATATGTAATATTTGGAAGAGTTAAGTCAGTGAGCCAATAATTTTTAAATGACCAATGCTTTGTGTTACAAAATTTATCATGCAGAGGTAAAAGATCATCTCAAAGTGCAAGGCACACAAATGTATTTTAATGTAAAGAGTATGAAAAGTTGATTAATATGGTTTCAGATTCTGCATGATTACTAACATTCAAGAAACTGCCAATTAGAAATCACTGAATACATGGATAAATTCCTGGAAACATACAACCCCCCTCCCCTCAAGATTAAGCCACAAATAAATTGAAATCCTGAACAGAAAAATAACTAGTTCCAAAATTTATTCAGTAATTAAAAGCCTACCAAACAGGAAAAGCCCTTGACCAGATGGATTCATGGAAAAATTCTACAAAATATACAAAGAAGAGCAGGTACTAACTCTACTAAAATTATTTTTTTTAGTGGAGTAGGAGGGACTCCTCCCTAACTAATTCCATGAGGCCAACGTCATTGTGATACCAAAACCTACGAGAGACACAACAATAAAGAAAACGTCAGACCAATACCCCTGAGAAACATAGACAAAAATCCTAAACAAAACACTAGCAAATCAATTCCAGTAGAACACCAAAATGCTAATCCACCATGATCAATTAGGCTATATTCTTGGGAAGCAAAGATGGTTCCACATATTCAAATCAATAAATATGACTCGTCACATAAACAGAACTAAAAACAAAGCAAAATGATCATTGCAATAGATGCAATCAAGACTTTTAATAAAATCCAACATCCCTTCATGTTAAAAACCCTCAACAAACTAGGCATTAAAAAAGTATATCTCAAAATAATAAGAGTCATTTATGACAAACCCACAGCCAATATTATACTGAATGGGGAAAAGCTGGAAGCATTCCCTTTGAGAACCTAAAACAAGACAGGGATGTCTTCTCACACTGCTCCTGTTAAACATAGTACTGGAAGCCTTAGCCAGATAAATCAGGTAAGGGAAAAAAAATGAAAGGCATCCAAATAGGAAGAAAGGAAATCAAACTCTCTCTCTTTGTAGACTATATGATTCCATACATAGAAAACCCAATAGTCTCTGCCCAAAGGCTCCTTGAACTGATAAACTACTTTGGTAAAGGTTCAGGATACCAAAACTGTGTACAAAAATTAGTGGCATTTCTATACACTGATAACACTCAAGGTGAGAGAAAAATCAAGAGTGCATACCATTCTCAACAGCCACAGAAAGAACAAAATACCTAGAAATACATCTAACCAGGTAGGTGAAAGATCTCCACAACAAGCATTACAAAACACTGCTGAGAGAAATCAGAGTGACAAAAGCAAATGGAAAAATGTTCCATGCTCGTGGATACAAACAATTAATGTTGTTAAAATGCTCATAATACACAAAGCAATGTACAGATTCAATATTATTTCTATCAAATTACCAACATCATTTTTCAGAGAATTAGAAGAAACTATTATAAAATTCATGTGGAACCAAAAAAGAGCTTGAATACCCACAACAATCCTAAGCAAAAAATAAAAATAAAACACAAAGCCCCAGGCATCTGACTTCAAACTATACTGCAAGGCTACAGTACCTAAAACATCATGGTATTGGTACAAAAATAGACATTTAGACCAATGGGACAGAACAGAGAGCTCAGAAATAAGGCCACAAATCTACAACTATCTGATCCTTGACAAAGCTGACAAAAACAAGCAATGGGGAAAGGTGCTGGGATAACTGACTAGTCATATGCAGAAAATTAAAACTGGAACCCATTTTTTACACCATATATAAAAATCAATTCAAAATGGATTAAAAACTTTTTAAAAATCTGAAAACTATAAAAACCTTGGAAGACAACCTAGGCAATACCATTCTGCATATAGAAACAGGCAAAGATTTCATGACAAAGACACCGAAAACAATTGCATCAAAAGCAATAATTGACAAATTGGATCTAATTAAACTAAAGAGCTTCTGCACAGCAAAAGAAACTTTCAAAGAGTAACCAGAAAGCCTACAGAATGGAAGAAACGATTTGAAAACTATGAAACTGACAAAGGTCTAATATTCAGAATCTATAAGTAACTTAAATTATCAAGCAAAGAAGTAAAAAAAAAATAAATAAATAAAAATGGGAAAGGGCATGAATAGATAGCCAACATGGTGAAACCCCGTCTCTACTAAATATACAAAAAATTAGCCGGGTGTGGTGGTGGGCACCTGTAGTCCCAGCTACTAGGGAGGCTGAGGCAGGAGATCTCTTGAACCTGGGAGGAGGAGGTTGCAGTGAGCCAAAACCGCACCACTGCTCTCCAGCCTGGGCAACAGGGTGAGACTCTGTCTAAGAAAAAATATATATCTTTTTCACTACAATCCTTTTTGAGGTATGATTTTCTTCATATAGTTCAACCAAAATAGCATTTGGAACACACAGAAGATGAAAGAAACTATGAGAATGTAGATGTCTTTTATTAAGCCATGCCTTATGGAGTTTGCAAAAATATAAAACTGTGACAGTCTTCTCATTAAGAATTTTCTTTTGCTAAATATAATTTTGATAAATATGTTTTATTTATGTTCACATTTGTTGGTTTTATAAATACATTCTAAAAATTGTTATTTAAAAATTGTTATATTAAGATTTAAGTGCCTTATATTTCTCAGCTTTAATTTAAAATATGATTTATATTAATAATGTTAAAATAAACAGAAGGTCTTTAAGGTCCTCAATAATTCATTATTATTTTTAAAATTGTGATTAAATACACATCACAAAATGTATTATGTTACCCATTTTAAGTGTACTGTTCTATGGCATTAAGCACATTCACACTGTTATGCAACTACCACTACAATCCATCTCCAGAGCCCTTTTTATCTTGAAAATTGAAACTCTGTAGTCATTAAACCAGAACTCCTCATTTCAGCCTCCATCCAGTCTCTGGCAACCATCATTCTATCCTCTGTCTCTCAATTTGACTATACTAGGTAGCTCATATCAGTGGAATCATGCGGTATTTGTCCATTGGTGACTGGGTTATTTCACTTGGCATGGTATCCTCGAAGTTCATTCATGTTGCATCATGTGTCAAAATTTCGTTTTGGCTGAATAATATTTCATTGTGGATGTATACCACATTTTGTTTATCCACTTATCCATCAATGGACACGAGTTGATTTCACCTTTTGGCTATTGTGAAAAATGCTGCTATGAACAAGGATATACAAATGTACGTTCAAGTTTCTACTTTCAATTTTTTGGTTATATACCCAGAAAGAGATTTGCTGGGTCATATGATGATTCTATTTTTAATACTTTGAAGAACTCCTATGCTATTTGCCACAGTGGCTGCACCATTTTACTTTCCCAAAAAATAGTGCATAAGGGTGTCAATTACTCTACACACTTGCTAACAACTGTTATTTTCTGCTGTTTTTTAGACATAGTAGCCACCCTAATGTGTGTGAGGTGGTTCTCATTGTGGTTTGGATTTGCAATTCCCGAACGATTGGTGATGATCAGCTTCTTTTCCTGTATTTATAAGTCGTTTTGTATATCTTCTTTCGAGAAATGTTTACCCATTTCCTGTGCCTATTTTTTTTTTAAATCAGGTTGTTTGTTTTTGAAATTTTTGAGTTGTAGGTATTCTTTTCATATTCTGCATCTGAACTCCTAATGAGATATATTATATATAAATGTTTTCTCCCATCCAGTGTCTTGTCCTTTCACTCTGTTGATTATGTCTTTTGATGCACAGAAGTTTTTAATTTCAATGCAGCCCAATTTACGTATGGTTTTCTTTTATTTTCTGTGCTTTTGGTGTCATATCCAAGAAATTGTTGCTAAATCCAATGTCATAAACTTTCTTCTATGCTTTCTTCTAAGAGCTTTATAGTTTTAGTTTTACATTGATGTCTTTGTTCCATTTTGAAATTGTTTTTTCACATCGTGTAAGGTTTACAGTTTTTCCCAGCACTGTTTATTGAAAACAACGTATTTCTCCCACTGAACGGCCCTGGCATGGAATACTACACAGTTATAAAAAGAACAAGATCATATCCTTTGCAGGCACATGGATGGAGTTTGAGGCCATTATCAGCAAACTAATGCAGGAGCAGAAAATCAAATACCACGTGTTCTAATTTATAAGTGGGCGCTAAATGATGAGAATACATGAACACAAAGAAAGGAACAACAGACACTGGGGTTTATTGGAGGGTGGTGGATGGGAGGAGGCAGAAAGATTAGAAAAAAATGTCTAATGAATAATAGGCTTAATACCTGGGTAATGAAACAACCTGTAAATCTAACCCTTGTGACACAAGTTTACGTATATAACAAACCTGCATGTGTACCCCTGAATTTAAAAAAAAATCATTTGACCATGTAGGTGAGGGTTTGTTAATAGGCCCTTTATTCCATTGGTTTAAGTGATTATTTTTATGCCAGTAATGTACATTTAGATTACTGTAGTTTAAGAGTAAAGAGATTCAGAATGTAAATTTGTGGCATAAAAATTATTTTTAAGCTGAAGACATTTGTGATTCAACAGATGCAAAAATAAGCTTTTTTAGAACCTTCCTTATCTGACTAGAGATAGAAACTTCTGAGAGTGAAGTATCTCTTTATTGACAATAAAACTTTCCAGGGAAGTTTTATTGTCAATGAAGACAGAGAAGACCACTCACACCTGCATAAACACACTTTATCACAAACTTTCTTACCTCTTGTTTGTTCTTCTAAAAACCCATTTGTCTTTCCTTTGAAAAGCCATTCAGTCTTCCCATAGAAGCCCTTTTCTCCCCACTTCCTTTTTCCTATTAAGTTAGATATATAAAATCCTTTTTATAAAAAAAAAAAAATTTACTTTAAGTTCCGGGATACAAGAGCAGAATGTGTAGATTTGTTACCTAGGTATACGGGCGCCATGGTGGTTTGCTGTATCTACCAACCCATCATCTAGATTTTAAGCCCTGAATGAATTAGTTATTTGTCCTAATGCTCTCCCTCCCCTCGCACCCTCCCCCCGATTGTCCCAGGTATGTGTTGTGCCCCTCCCTGCGTCCATGTGTTCTCATTGCTCAACTCCTATTTATGAGTGAGAACATGCGGTGTTTGGTATAAAACTGTATTTCTAATTATTGAGCAAGCCACTTCTTTAATGTACTCATATGCATGTGAATAAACCTTGTCTTTTCTCTTGTTAATCTATCTTTCGTCAATTTATTCACAGGGTCTTAAATATTAAACCTAAGTGAGTAGAGGAAAACTTTTTCCTCCCAGAAAAAAAGTAAGTTTGAAAATCAGGAAGTATGAGATCTCTAATTTTATTATTTTTGATTGTTTTATTATCCAAGGTACTTTGAGATTCCGTGTAAATTTTAAGATGAGTTTTCCTATTTCTGCAAAAAGTGTCATTGGGATTTTGATAGGGATTGCATTGAATCTATAGATTACTTTGGGTAGCATGGATTAATGGTATTAAGTTTTCCAATTCATGAATATCATGTGTTTTTCTACTTATTAGTTGTCTCTTCTGATTTCTTTCTGTAGTGTTTTACAGTTTTCAGTGTACAAGTCTTTCATCTCTTTGGTTAAGTTTATTCCTAAGTATTTTATTATTTTGGATGCTATTGCAAATGGAATTGTCAATTTTCTTTTTGGATTGTTCATTGTCAGTGTGTAGAAATGCAACTGATTTTTTGATGTTGATTTTATCTTTTAACTTTGCTGAATTCATTTTTTAGTTATAACAGTCTCAGTGTGTGTGTGGTGTGTGTAATCTTTAGAGTTTTTTAAATATGGAATTAGGTTATCTGCAAACAGAATTAATTTTACTTCTGTTACCAGGAAGTGTGGGAATCCCCAGTTCTCGTCTAACTTCGAAGAAATTATGTAGCCAAGAGATGCATAGGAAAGGTTAAGTAGTAGAGTTTATTGAAGGAAGATAAAATACATTCCTAGAGAGGTGTGAAAAACAGCGGTTCCATATGGAAAAATAGTAGTTACAGTGTTTATTTAAAGACACAGTATACTCTGAAAGATGAGATAGAGTGGGCTGTTAGAGAGAATGATCCAGCAGCAGGAAATGCTGGGGAACTCTGTTTATGAGAATCTTACATGATTATTCATGAAGGGTATAAGGGAGTGGTACTTGCAAGCATGTTTCAGGAAGTCATTTTGGGCATACATGCTCCGTGGTTGTACATGCTAGTAAACACATCGCATGTCTCATTAGCATTTAAAATCTCCACCCAGAGGTGTCTTTTTTACTACTATCATGAGCAAAAGACTATGCTAGGGCAAGGTTTTGGAGGAGTGTGCATTCTCCTCAGCAGGGAAAATCCCCAGCATGGTTATTTCAAGCTAGGGCCTGAGAGGTCCCCGTTTAGGGCTGAAGGAATGCAACAAGTCCAGAAGTAGCCAGTATAGCCATTGTTTGTTTGTTTGTTTGTTTGTTTTGGCTGAGCACAGGGGACTTTACTGATGGTACACTCAAGGTGGGGCTCCCTAGGCCCCTCCCTCTTCAAGGGATCGGCCTGGAAACTGAGAAGGTGAGATTCAGTTTGGTGAGGGACTGAGAGTGGCAAGGACCCCCCAGGAGTGAGGGCCTCTCTCTTCCTCTCGTGCTCTCCCTGGGGCTGGTGGTCCAGGGGTCTTACTCCTTGGAGGCCACGTGGGCCATGAGGTCCACCACACTGTTGCTGTAGCCAAATTCATCGTCATACCAGGAAATGAGCTTGACAAAGTGGACGTTGAGGGCAATGTTTTTTGTTTTTTACTGACTGTCAGCGGACAGTGCCAACTATCATTGGGCAACATCTTCAGGACTCCTTTTCCCAGGGAGCTCCCTTGCCTGCTCATTTCTGGCTATCTGCTTACTCTAACACTTCCTCTTTTCTGATTTGGATGATTTGGTTTCTTTTTCTTGCCTAATTGCTGTCTCTGAGACTTCTAGTACAACATCAAATAGAAAGGGTTCTCAGTAATTTTAAAGTGCAATATTTTTAAAAGTTTTAAGACCAAAAATTGTACAAGAGTCTAAGAGGAAGAAGACAAGATTGTAAGAAAAAAAAGTCTGTTCCTCTTTCCCTTAAACCATGATTATCTTTTTTTATGCAAAGTAAATAGTCTTCTTTTAACTTCAAGATTTTGCCTATTTCTTAAAAATAATGTAATAGAGTATGGTTGCAAATAATTAACAAAAGTTAAATGAGGGAATATTTTCCTTGTTTTATTTTGTGTATTAACAATCATTATACTTAAATATCTATATATAATACCAAAATATTAAATTCAGGATCTTAAACTGTACCCTTCAGATACAGTTTAAGTTCATAACATGAGGAAAACTGTGTCTTAGTGGTTGCTTGGCCCTTTACATTTGTTTTTTAGCTTTCTCTTTCCAGAAGTAAATATTCCCTTTTCAAACCCCATGCCTTTCACTGTTACTCCTAGAAGGGCATTCATTACATCATGTGTAATGTCATTTAATGGCTTGTTTTTGAAAGCTTCAGCTATTTATTGCTAATGTACTTATTTTGTAAGACTTCTATGTTAAAAGTCAAAATGTACCTTGTGAAGTAAAATTAAAATGAGGGAATTATAATAACAGCTTATTTCTATAAATGTAGCTCTATTTTTGACATGTTTCTTTAATATGGAGAACTTGTATAGAGGCTATTTTGTGGGGAGTCATTTCAACTGATGGACACTACCAATACCCACATTTCATTTGCAAAACATCCAGCCTAGGAGTTTTCTATAAGAGGGTACTAGGATGGCTATATGGTTAGTCATGATAATGTCCTGTCACAGTCTACAGTTTAGCGTAAAATTTACCAACACCATGACTTTAAACAGAGCACACCAAAGGGAAGAGCCACACTATAGAGAGGACCAGCAATATTGAGTGAAAGACATAGTCTGTGTTTGCTTTTTGTTGAGCAACCTTACTATGTATAGCATTTTTAAGGTTAATTCTATTCTCATGGAATATTATTTTCAAAACAGATGAATCATCTCCAAAAGCATACCCCACCTCCTAAAAAAAGGAAAATATTTTGATAATATAGATATAACTATTTTAAAAATAACATTTATATTTCAGATGTTTTATAAGCTGCATTGTTAATATTACTGATGCATTAACAGATATATAAAATAAGATCAATTTATAATGAATCACTATAAACAAATATATAGAAATGACTGATAGTATTTAAGCTAATGAAGTATTAAAAATTGTCCCAGACTTGGAAATGAACTGGAGAAATTCCTGGGTGTCCTTTTAGAGTATGGTTACTAATTGTCTAGTGAATTATTTGGGGGATTGTTTAACAGGAGTGTTAACTTTGACTGATTTCTCAATTTGCTAGGCTGTTTTCTATTTTGTAGGGTAAGGAGTTAATCTTGTAGAAATCTAATAGTAATGCAGATGTTTGTTTAAGCTATGCAAATAGATTTGATTCAGTAAAATCACCTTTAATTGCTGCTTGGAAAAAAATCTCATACATGGTTATTATTGTTCTATAAGACATAAAACTATTTCACATTTTCTGCAAATTCATTTCAGCATTCTTACTAACTCTATGTATATTTTCCTTAAGTTCTCCTTTGAAATAGTTTTACTATATTACTGGTTATCTCATTAACTCATGAATTGAATACAATTTTGGACACAATGTTTGTTTTATACTTGCAAGTAAGTTATGTTTTCAAATTTTTGAAAATTTTACTTTAGTAGAAATAAGAAATATAATGTATGCTGACTAAAAAGGCCTCATTCGGGTACTGTTCTGCATAGAGGTGCTGCTTAACTCATCTGACCATTTTTCCATCAACAGTGTAATTTGTCAGTTGTATCCTCTCAGTTGTAATATCTATTTTAAAAAAACTGAAGTGATACTTTGAATTGTTGTTTACATAAAATACCAAAGAATTATAAAATAATGCCTGGACCCATAGTATAGTAACAAAAACATGTATACAAATACTTGATAGTTAACTTATTTAACAAACTAGATACATAACAAATTTTAAATAATATAACTTCCAGTCTTGCAGGTATAAAGGAAATGGTTTTGTATTGGCTCACAATGGATACTCTTTTTATTCTGAGATCTTGGCTTTATGGCATTCACTTACCATCTGCTCTGTCCCAAGACATTCTAAGTTCCATAACACTAAAATGATGAGCACGACCTCACATCTGGGTTTTTGTATAAGTTACACAGTATTTTCAATATCCCTGTCTACAATTTCTTCAAATGTAGAATTTATTACACAGTTTTGGCTGTATTTTGACATATCTAGGCTATATTTGGAAAGAAAAACAATCTTTAAGCAAAGTCATTTGCTGTTTCAGACTTTTTGTGTAGGAGTTGGTTAAATAGGTGTGAGACACTCTGATTGGAAGGGTTCTAAGGAATTTTTCTTAAAACAGCAGATGGAAGGAAAGCAAACGGTTTTTGTTTTTGTTTAAAGGCTATTTGGATTTACTGTGAAGCTGCTGTTGGAATTATGAGGGGAACCTTCAAGTTAGTCTTTGGAAATGCCGCTAAGAAGTACAGTTCTCCAAATAAGGCACACCTGTTAATTAGCAAGTTAAAAATACTATATTGCAAAAGCACCAGATCTATATCAGAAGACTTAGCTATTCATCCTGGATCAGCCGTCTATTGGTGCTATGGGCTAGGTGAAATTGAGTTTCCTGAATCTATCAAGCCAACTTAGTAACTCTTGTACACCTCGTGGTTTCCTTGTAGGATCAGGTATATGTGGCAACAGATTTGAAACTAAAATTTTTATAAATATAAATACTATAAACAATTAGGTCAGGCTGAGAAATTAAAACAGCTACCAAGACTGAAGATTTATTTATCCTTCATAAGTACTAGGTTCACTAAACTCATAAAAAAACTAAAATTCTATTTGGGTTAACCATGTTCTAGACCCTGGGTGAATTTTGTCCCCTAATTGGGCCCTAAGAATCTTTCCCCAGACTATGGGTCTTTGCTTGCATCTCATTTATGGCTTTTTTTATAGAGATGACAAAAAAAATCCCTCCATGAGTTTAAGATATCTTTAGAAGTATTATTTTGCCATTCTCTCTGTTTATTGAGGGTGATTTCAATACAAGTTTTTAGATCAGGTCAAAAGTTCTCACTCCTTACCACCAATCTTGCTTCTTTATTCTTTCTGTGATAAAAATGGCTGCTGGGATGAGAAAGGCTTAACGGGAAGGATAATTATGTTGGCAGATAAGACTACAATGCAACAGTGAAGGATCTCTTCCTGAATGTTTGCATTGAAATTACATGTACTAATTGCTGAAGCATTGGGAAATTATAAAATTAAGTATAAATGTTTGTAAAGACAGATCTGTAAATAGTATTGCCAAATTTAGTGAATAATAATACTGGGTGCCCAGTTCAACCTGAATCTTAAACAGTTCATATTTTTAGTCTAAGTATATCTAATATGTTTTATGAGACATACTTAGACTTAAACATTATCCATTGTTTATCTAAAGTCAAATTTAACTTGCTGTCTTGTATTTTCATCTGGTTGCTCTATCTGCAATCCGCTTGTTGATTAAGAATTTTCCACACGGCAGCAGTGTTCAAAAACCAGAATCAACCCTCATTCAGCTTAACACGTGCCAGTAACATTTTATAGACCAATAAGAATATGATTAGAACAGGAAACTTACTAAAGGGGCTGTTCCTAGTAGACTGGTAATAGTTGAAAGGAGATTCTGGCATTTGGTAAAAGGAGAGGAAGATCAAAGACATTATAATCTGCTGGTTTAGCTAAAATATAATCCTTCTTATCTTGGTAATAGCTGATGATACTTGGTAAATATACTTATATTTAATAAAGAAATGAGCCAATTATTTACCACCTGCTTAGTATAAATCCTAATTGAACAAGGAAAGGAAATGATGTGACAGAGAGTAAATCCCTGGAGATCGATGTGCATAATGACCTTAGGGAAAGTTAAGCAATGCAGACTAAGCCCCTATGTGCCATTTATAGTCTAGGGAGAAATCACAGAGCCAAATTAAGAACAAAATTCACCTAAAGTCTAGAGACTAGACAAAGACAGAAGGAAACACCTGAGGGGAATTTTCTGAAAACTAAACCTAGATGATGAAAAATTAGATTGTAGATTAAATTTAAAGTCCACAATGCCTAAAAACTGGCTGTTCTCGATAATGGTATCAAGAAAAAAGAATACATATATATAGTTTAGGTGTATTTTCCAGGAAAATAAAAAGAAGTCGTGAATGTGTGACTGGATTTTTACTCCCCACTCCCATTTCCTTTTTGTTTCTCTTAAAAAATTTCCTCTGAAAAATATTGGTCTAAAGATTTCCACAAAACTTCCTGTAAGGTTAGCTTTTAAAATGCTTGTAACAATTCCAGCAGTAAAAATAGAAGGGAAAAAATTGTGGAAAGAAAATTACTTTGCATTACACTGAATCTGTTTTCATACATCATGATTTTGCTATACTAAAAATCCTAGGCCTACACAGATACATTTTAACTGTAAAGAATTTCAGTAGATAAACGAATATCACTTAGATTTTCATATATAGTTTCTGTAAATTTAGACATATATATTTAAAATTGTTTATATAAGATGAAGCACATTGATGAGTTAAAATATAGAATTTATAGTTATTTACTTTGTCTAAACATCTCCTCAAAATCAGGTCAAAGGACTTATAGTTAATACAAATTCTCAAATGCAAATGCTCTGCTACTTGATTGTGACATCTGCTTGGTAAAGCTTTTTCATGTTAAGTATTGTGATTCATTTTGTTCACTCTTTAATGATATCTGTAAAACGTATTTTAACGTAAATTGTCTTAATGCTTCTCATTTCTCCTGAGGTGTTATGCTCTATACCATAAGAAACAGAAGTGCCAACAATTGCTATTTTTTATGCTTGATAAAGAGAAGTGCTAGAAAGTAGAATTAAAAACAAACATAGATGACTTGCAGGAAGCATAGTGTGAATAAAATTTTCATCACTGTTTTTGACTATACTGTGTGAGAAGTTTACCAAGAAAGGTGAAATATTTCCCCCTTCTATTTTACTTAATCTGTTATGCAAATCGTTCTACTTAGAAAACACGTATTTTTGAGTTTCTATATTAGGTATATTTAGAAATCTGGGGAGATTTAGGAGTTGAGAGAGGTATCTTATGGTTTTTATGTGTCTTAAAGCAGATTTCCCATATTCCTCTGTTGCCATTTGGGTATCGTTAGAATGAACTTCCAAATGAATCCACTTAATCCCAAGGCTCGCCTTTTTAGAAGGCAAAGAGAAAACACTTCCTCTGTGGCTGAAAAGTAGGTATTATCATCTCTGGACCTAAATATCATTGTCCTTCCTCATTAGTCATGGCACTCAAAATTACAAGTATTATCTTTCCTTTATATTAAAAGAGTAATAGTCAAACACACCGAGAGTGAGAGTGGGTGGGAAATATCATATAAGAATCTCAGAAAATGGGTGAAAAAGAAAGATGAGAGTTACATATTTATTAAAAGAGAACATAGGAAAGGATGGACTATTCAATGTGGTTTGACCCCAAATGGTTTGGGATCTACCAGCTATGGATTGGCAGAAAATAAAAGTAGAAACTAACCTGATACCATTTATACAGTAATTACAAGTGAATTAAAGACATAATTATGAGTCATATAAAATACTATAAGAAATTATAGGATAATATTTGTATATTCTTTAGATAGAGGAGGCCTTCTTAAGCAGGACAAGGATCACAAAAGCCATAAGTGAAAAAAAATTGATTTCTTATTTCTGTATGACAAAAGGCAATATCATTCAAGTCAAAAGACAAATGACAATCTGAAAGAAAATGATTGCAACATAAAACAAAGTGTTTTCCTTGTAAATACTTGTTACAAGAAATAACAAATGGTGCATACAACATGCTATGACTAAAACAACCAACGCTGGGAAATGGGGAGAATATAAATAAGCAATTCATAATAGAGGGAATGAAGACAGTAGACATATCAAAAATGCTAAACAGCTCTAATAATGAGAGGAAGAAAATTTAAAACAACAATAAAATAACTTTTTTTTCTATCAGACTCAAGAGAAACTGCATGGGTTTAAATAATAGCTCTCTCAGTTGCTAATTGTGTGACCTTGGGTGAGTTAACAAATCTATAATCCTGATTCAGTTGATTCATCTATAAAAATGGAGATAATAATTCCTATGTTACAGAATTATTTTAGTATTGATTATGTCCTTACAATAGTTTCTGGCACATTGTGGATCCTATTAAGTGTGAGCTGATATTATTACTATTGTTATTATTTTTGGTAATAATGTTAGTAAGTAATCCAGCAATATTTTTTTAAATTATAAATTTACATCTTTTTGAGACAGCAGCCTCATATTCGGGAATTTATCAGAAGAAAAAGTTATCTCTATGTGGGAGACTGGTCCAAAGTACTTATTTTTGCATCGTTTGCTGCAATAATGAAACGTTAAGTGACTTTGAGGTTTATTAATAGGGAGTTAATACAATAATATATAAGGTATAGTGGCAATGGAATCTAATGGAGGTAAGAAGAAGGAAAGGTAAATTTATATAAAAATACCTGAAACAATGCCCATGATGTTTTCTTAAGTAAACAAAGCCAGTTATATAAAAAGATTTAAAATATGATCCCATGTTTGTACAAAACACAAACAAGCATCTACATGTGCATATGTATATTTGTATAAGGAAAAGAAACGGTACGCAAGAAAAGAGACCCAATTTTTCACAATAGATATATTCAGGCCATGGAACGGTAGTATAAAAGGAAACTTACTTATTTTATTTTAGGTACTTCTGGCCTTTTAGGACTTCAATGTCAGCTTCCTCCATGATGGCAACACCATATATGGCTTATTCACTGCTGTATTTCCAGTGCTTAGAAATAATTTTTTTTTTTTTTCTGGAGACAGAGTCTTACTCTGTCACCCAGGCTGGAGTGCAGTGGTGTGATCTCAGCTCACTGCAACCTCCACCTCCCAGATTCAAGCAATTCTCCTGCCTCAGCCTCCCGAGTAGCCGGGATTACAGGCATGCACCACCACACCCGGATACTTTTTGTATTTTTAGTAGAGACGGGGTTTCACCATGTTGGCCAGGCTGGTCTCGAACTCCTGACCTCAGGTGATTCACCCGCCTCAGCCTCCCAAAGTGCTGGGATTACAAGCGTGAGACACCACGCCCGGGCAGAAATAAATATTTATAAATGAATAAAGAATCAACATTTAAATTGTATATAGGTTAAGGTAAATACTATTTATAGACATTATAATATTTTCTTATCACACAAATTAGTCAGCAATTTCACAGAGTTTAAAGATTCAGACATTCCTTACTGATCTGAAAGCACCTTATGATATAAGGCATATGGAAACTTTATTTTTTGCTTTTATTGTTTTGAATGGCATTTATTTTGACCTGTACAGTATTTATTTTGGAGTTGAGTTTATCAGAAGCTTATGTTTTATCATGATGTATGAAGCAAGTTAGGAAAATGCATATATTTATTAAGAAAAGTCTCAAAGGGTTTGCAACTATTCAAGAAAAAATATGAAAATAACCATTGAGAATCAGGAAGCTCTGGTTAAGTGGTTGTGATTTTTTTTCCAGAGCAGATTTTCAGTAAAATCATACACCTTTAACATTCTTAAAGGACTGTGTGTGTGTGTGTGTGTGTGTGTGTGTGTGTGTGTGTGTGCCTGCAAAGGGTGCTGGGGGAAATATATAGATGGGCATTCGATTGTCTTTCTTTCCCTGTTAGGATTCAGGAAGAAGTGCACCTGTGTTCCTGAAAGGCACGGTGGAGGAGAATTTAGATAAGTTCAGGCAAGCACAGCCATGAAGAGCTCTGTACCAAACTGAGAGTATATATCGTGACTTTATTTCCTGTTTCCATCTCAGTCCCCTCTCTAGCCCATTCGATTATCCCCTCAATATCTATGTTTCTGGCCCCATTAAGGCAACCTGACTTTGATTAGTGCTGTTGCTTTAACAGTTTGGTTTGGTGGTGTTTTACTCAGATAATTTCATGAGAGCAGATAAGTTAAGCTACCAGGGTCTAAGCCTCTCCCACCATATTTTAGTGGTTAGACTATTTAATGTAACCCCTGTTTTACTCTAAGCATTTAAACTAATTATATTTTGCATACATGTGTTCCCCATGTCATGGAAAGCAGAATAATATTGTGAAATGAGAACTGGAACAGAGATTATGCATTTGCTGAGAGTAGGATCAAGTTATGATTTTGTCTCCTGAGATGGATAAGATGGTATGTAATTTTGGGCAAGAGTAAATTGGCGGCAGTAGAGCCTAGCAGTTTATACCATGGACTCCAGAGTCAGACTTCCTTCATTGAAATCCTGATTGTGACACTTACAAGCAATGTAACATTGGATAAGTTACTTAACTTCTCGGTCCTTTAGTTTCATCATCTGTACAATGGAGATAACATTAGGATCTCACAGAAAACTGGGTCTGTTGTGTCCAAAGTCTTTGTTCTTTCCATTACATTATGCCGACATATCTCATGTGAAAACTCATTGAGATGGACAAAGTAATATAAACTTAAAACATCTGCAGAATGAGAAAAAAAAGTTTTAATGATCAAAATAATAAATAAATCAATATAAAACAGCATTTCTAAAAGCTCATCCTGACACCTCACTGGCATAAGCCAGCTATTTGAAAAGTGATCTTGTTTTAAACGTCTTTTAAAAACAAAAAACAGAAGAGAATATCTGTCAAACCATGGCAGGCAGGAAATGCCAAAGATATTGACCTTCCCCTGGAAACATGTGACTTCCATTGTTGGTAGCGTAGATCTGGGAACCTTTTTAGGAAAGGACATGAGCATATCTTAGTTACCATGTGGCTCCGTAAGTATCCAGGTTTAATTAATAGGAGACTCAATACGGCCATTTAGTCACAAAACTTGCAAATTAAATTATAGAGAGAGTGAGCTTCCTTTTTTAGTATTTGATCTCCTTACCTACTAAAGCCTAAATCCTAAAGAGGTCTAAGCTAAAATAAACAATAAAAATATACGTGTTGCTATAATGGTAGAACATCAAAACCATAGATTGATTCAGTCAAATAAGAAAATAAAATGTTATTTTAAAAACTCTAAAACAAAACAAATAGTAAAGGAAACTGATTATTGGCATTGCATTGATGAAACTGGGTAAGTGAATCTTTCTATTTTTTAAACTATAAGCATGGACTGTTTATGAAACATTTTGACAATAACTTTTGGTCAGTGTAATTAAAACATTGATCTGTATGGTAGACTGATCATCAGAATACTGCAGATGTCAAGCACACTGACACAGACATTGCTAAAAAAACTAACTCAAGTTCGTTGCTAGCCCCTCTCCTAGGTGATCTCATTCATTCTCTCAGTTTAGAGTATCTATATGCTTATTAGATCCAAATCCTTAGTTCCAGCTCTAACTTATCTAAGTGTGATTTGTATGTGCAACTACCTACTTATCTAGTGTAGATGATTCATAGGCATCTCCAATTTGTCCAAAAAGGATACTTCATTTTTTCTTCTATGCTTGCCTTTTTTTTTTTCATTACAGTAAATGGGACCACCATCCACCCTGTTGATCAAGACAGAAACCTAGAAGGCTTCTTTGATTCCTTTGGTTCCTTCACTCTGTAGCCCATACCTCATTCTTCAACAAGTCTTGTGGGTTGTACCTCTGAAACATGTATCTTAATTCTGGCCATTACTTTTCATCTCTATTGCCACTATCATAGTCTGAGCCACTGTCATCTCTAGCCTGGTCCATCCCAGGAGTCTCTTATGTGGCCTCCCTCTTTCTATGCTTCTACTTCTGGCTTTCTCTGATCCATTCTCCAAATAACAGAGAGATCTATTTTAAAGTATAAATAAGATCAGGTCATTTGTTTATCTAAAAATTGTTTTTCCATTGCAATTAAAATGAAATCCAAACTTCTCACTCTGATCTACAAAGCTTTGTTTGGTGTGGATCTTCTTTATTTCCCAGCCTCATTTCACACGACACCACCTTTTGTTCCCTATGCTCTAGCTTTCTTTCCATTCTTTGAGCACATCAGGCTCACTTCTGCTTAGGGACTTTTATATTATGTTTCTTTTTTTCCTTCTGCAGGTGCCTTTCACGGCATAAATGTGTCTTTTGGGACTCTTGGGTCTCAGCTTAAATTTCAGCACTTCTGTGAGGCTTTCCTAACCATCTCTTCTAAAGTAACCCTTATCTATTATTTTCTATAACAACATCCTCTTTGCTCTCTTCATAGTTGAAAAAAGAGGAGTACTTACTATAACCTGTAATTATATTTGAAAATATTTATTTATTTTCTATCCTTCTCCACCAGGACATCTTCTCATAAAGGCATAGAATATGTCTGTATTATTTACTGATGGTTCCCAGTGCTTACTGCAATGTCTGGTATAAATAGACAATTAACAATTATTTCTTAAGTGAATGTATTATTGTGTTTAATCTCTGGTCTTTTAATTTATTCAGTCCAGCCTCAGAAGCCTCTTGGGAGAAGAGAAACTTTCTAAGGGTAACACAGTAGTTTGGAGGCAAAAGTGACCAACTATAATAGAATTGCGTCCAGTGCCAAAGTCATATGATTCACCAAAGGTCTGAGGAAAAGTTATTTTGAGGGATGACTTCATATCAGCCTCTATATTAACACCCTACCAAAATTTATGGGAATGGATCCTAAACCTCATATAACTTTTTATTCTTATTGGATTATACTTCCTTGAGGACATGCTTCTCCTCTCCAGAAACCCTAGGTCATATTTTGGGGCATCAATAATAATGCCCCAAAATAATAATAAATCAGCACTCCCTGCAGCCTGCATCAACTAAAAGGGGTAATAGGAAAAAGGACTAGGAAGAATAAATATTTTAGCATGGATATTAATAACATATGACACCATTACTCCATTGAAAGAAACTCAAATTAAAGCCCAAGAAAACAGAGAAATGTAGAGTTATGTACAGTTTTAATTAAAATACTGGCAAAATGTATACCTTTATTTCAGTGAAACGAGATGTGTTATGAACTGATTTTGAGTTTCAGAGGCTAAGTGCTTATTAAACATTTTGGTAAAAAAATAATTTATATTCCCGCCAACAGCATACAAATGTTTCCTATTCTGCACATCGTCACCAACTTTTGTTATTGGCTGTCTTTTAGATATAAGGCATTTTAACTGGGGTAAGATAATATCCCATTGCAGTTCTGATTTGCATTTCTTTGATGATTGATGATGATAAGCATCTTTTCATATGCCTGTATGCCATTTGTATGTCTTCTTTTAAGAAGTGCCTATTTAAATATTTTGCCCATATTTTGATCAATTTTTTTCATATACACTTGTTAGAATTTCTTTAAATTCTGGTTATTAATCCTTTGTCAAATATTTTCTCCTATTCTGTGGGTTGTCTCTTCACTTTGTTGATTGTATCCTTTGCTGTGCAGAAGCTTTTTATCTTGATGTGATCCCATTTGTCCATTTTTGCTTTGTCTGTCTGTGCTTGTGAAGAATTTTTAAAGAAATTTTGGGCCAGAACAATGTCCTGGAGGTTTCCCCTGATGTTTTCTTGTAGTAGTTTCATAGTTTGAGGTCTTAGATTTAAGTCTTTAATCTGTTTTGAATTGGTTTTTTGTATTTGATGAGAGATACAGGTCTAGTTTCACTATTTTGCATATGGGTATTTGGTTTTTCTGGCACCATTTACTGAGAGATAGTCTTTTCCCCAGTTCTTGACACCGTTGTCAAAAATGTGTTCGTTATAGCTTTGTGTGGATTTGTTTCTGGGTTCTCTATACTCTTCCATTGGTCTATGTATCTGTTTCTATGCCAGCCCATGCTGTTTTTGTTACTATAGCTCTGTAGTATAATTTGAAGATAGGTAATGTGATTCCTCCAGTTTTGTTCTTTATGCTTAAGGTACCTTTGGCGATTCTGGGTCTTTTTTGGATCCATATAAATTTTAGGATTTTTTTTTCTTTTTTCTGTGAATAAGGTCATTAGTATTTGAGTTAAGTATTGCATTGAATTTTTAGATTGCTTTGGGTTGTACAGATATTTTGACATTATTGATTCTTCCAATCTATGAACATGGTCCATTTCTTGGTGTCCTCTTCAATTTCTTTTATGAGTGTTTTGTAGTTTTTATTATAGAGATCTTTCACTTCTTTAGTTAATTCCCAGGTATTTAACTTTATGTCTGGCTATTGTAAATGGGATTATTGTTTTAAATTTCTTTTTCAGATTGTTTACTGTTGGCATATAGGAATGCTACTGATTTTTGTATGTTGATTTTGTATCCTGAAAATTTACTGAAAAATAGTTTTTTTGTGGAGTCTTTTAGGTTTTTCTAAATATAAGATCATATCATCTGCAAGGAAGGATAATTTGACTTTTTCCATTCCAATTCAGATGCACCTTACATGTTTCTCTTGTCTAATTGTTATAGCTGTGACTTCCAGTACTATGTGGAATAACAGTGGTGACAGTGGGTATCCCTTTTATGTGCCAGATCTTAGAGGAAAGGCTTTCATTTTTTCTCTATTTAGTATGATACTAGCTGTGGGTCTGTCCTATATGGCTGATATGATTTGGCTGTGTCCCTACCCAAATCTCATCTTGAATTTTAATCCCCATAATTCCCCTATTCCCCACGTGTCATTGGGAGGAACCCAGTGGGAAGTGACTGGATCACGGGGGCCATTTCCCGCATGCTCTTCTCGTGATAGTGAGCGAGTTCTTATGAGATCTGATGGTTTTATAAGCCTCTGGCATTTCCCCTGCTCACATTTACTCTCTCTTCTGCCACCTTGTAAAGAAGCTGCCTGCTTCTGCTTCGCCTTCTGCCATTATTGTAAGTTTCCAGAGGCCTCTCCGGCCATACAGAACTGTGAGTCAATGAAACCTTTTTTATTTTCTTAAATTACCAAGTCTTGAGTATTTCTTTATAGCAGTGTGAGAATGGACTAATACAATGGCTTTTATTATGTTGAGGTATATTCCATTTATACCCAGTTTTTGAGGGTTTTCATCATGAAAGGATGTTGAATTTTCTCAAATGCTTTTTCAGCATCAATAGAAATGATCATATGGTTTTATTTTTCACTCTGTTGATATGATGTATCACATTGATCATTTGCATATCTTGAATGATCCTTTTATCCCATAGATAAATCCCACTTGATTGTGATGCGTGATCTTTCTAATGTATTATTGAATTCCGTTTGCTAGTATTTTGTTTAGGATTTTTGCATCAATATTCATCAGAGAATTTGACTTACAGGTTTTGTCTTGTTTTGTTTTGTTTTTGATGTGTCTTTGTCTGATTTTGGTATCAGGGCAATAATGGTTTCATAGAATTAGTTTAGAAGTATTTCCTCCTACTCTATTTTTCGGAAGTGTTTGGATATAATTGGTATTAGTTATTCTTTAAATATTTAGTGCAATTCAGCAGTGAAGCCATCAGGTCCTGGGCTTTTTTTTTTTTTTTTTTTCTGGGAGACATTTTATTATGGATTCAAAGCCATTACTTGTTGTTGGTGTATTCATATTTTTGGGTTTCTTTCTGATTCAGTCTTCATAGGTCTGTGCATCTAGGAATTTGTCCAATTATTCTAAAGTTTTCAATTTATTGGCATACATTTCTTGTAGTAGACATTAATGATCCTTTACATTTCTGCAGTATCAGTTGTAATGTCTTCTTTTTCATCTCTGATTTTATTTATTTGGATCTTTTTTTTCTGAGTTAGTCTGACTAAAGGTTTATCAATTACTATTTAAATTTTCAAAATAAAACCTTTTTTATTTCATTGACCTTTTGTATTGTTTTCTTCACTGTAATTTCATTTACTTCTGCTCTGATGTTTATTTTTTTTCATTCTAATAATTTTGGGTATGGTTTGTCCTTGCTTTTCTAGCTCTTTAAGATACATCATTAGATTGTTTATTTGAAGTATTTCCTCTTTTTAGATGTAGGCACTTACAGCTATAAAATTCCTTCTTAGTAGTTCTTTGGCTGTATTGCATAGGTTTTGGTAGGTGTTTTGTCATTATCTTTTGCTTAAAGAAAGTTTTAATTTTTTTTCTTAATTTCTTCATTGATCCACTGATCACTCAGCAGCATATTGTCTAATTTTTGTGTATTTGTATACTTTCCAAAATTCCTCATGTTATTAATTTTTAGTTATATTTCATTGTGGCCAGTGCAGATGCTTGGTAATATTTCATTTTTAAAACATATTTTAAGATTTGTTTTTAAAAAAATATAGTCTATCCTTGATAATGATCCTTGTGCTGAGGAAAATAATGCTTATTTTGAAGATGTCGGATGGAATGCTCTGTAAATATCTATTAGATCAATTTGGCCTATAATGTAGATTTCTCTTTGTTGATTTTCTGTCTGGAAGATCTTTCCAATGCTAAGGGTAAAGTGTTGAAGTCTCCAGCTGTTATTGTATTGGGACCTATCTCTCTCTCAGCTCTAACAGTATTTGTTTTATATATCTGGGTATTCCAGTGTTGGGTGCATATATATTTAAATTTGTTATATCTTCTTACTGAAGTGACCTTCTTTGTCTCTTCTTATAGTTTTTGTCTTGAATTACATTTTGTCTGCTATAAGTATAGCAACTCATGCTCTTCTTTGGTTTCCATTGGCATGGAACATCTTTTTCCATGCCTCTATTTTAAATATATGTGTGTCTTTATAGGTGAAGTGTGTTTCTTGTGGAAAACAAATTATTGGGTCTTGTTTCTTCATACATTTAACCAGTCTATGCCTTTTGATTGGACAATTTAGTCCATTTACATTCAATGTTGTTATTGGTAAGTCAGAACTTACTCCTGCCATTTTGTTATGTGTTTTCTGGCTGTTTTGTTGTCATTTCTTTCTTCTTTCACTCCTTTCTGTCTTCCTTTTAGTGGAGTTGATTTTTCTCTGGTGATATGTTTTAGTTTCTTGCTTTTTATTTTTTGTGCCCTCATTGCATGTTTTTTTGGTTTGAGTTTGCCATACTGCTTGCAAATATTATTTTATAACCCTGTATTTTAATCTTACAACAACACTCTTTGCATAACCAAACAAGCAGAAAGAAAAATACTAAAAATTTTATTTCTTAAGTTTGCTTTCCCTCTTTGTATCTTTTTGTTGTTTCTATTTATATCTTATTGTATTGACTATGTCTTGAAAAGATTTTGTAGTCATTAGTTTTGATTTGTTCACTGTTTAGTCTTTGTATTTAGGACAAGAGTAACTTACACACCACAGTTCTAGTGTTAGAATATTTTGTGTTTTTCTGTGTACTTTCTATTACTAGTGAGTTTTGTACCTTCGGGTGATTACTTATTATTCATCAATGTCCTTTCCTTTCTGATTGAAGCACTTCCTTTAGCATTTATTGTACAATAGGTCTGGTGTTGATGAAATCCTTCAGCTTTTGTTTGAGAAACTCTTTATTTCTCCTTCATGTTTTAAGTATATTTTCACCAGATGTACGATTCTAGGGTAAAATATTTTTCCCTTAGCACTTTAAATATGTCATTCCACTCTCCTGTCCTGTAAGGTTTCCACTAAAAAGTCTGCTGCTAGATGTATTAAAGCTTTATTGTATGTGTGCGTGTTTTTTTTTTTTTTTCTCTAGCTGCTTTTAGGATTCCTTTTTTATCCTTGACCTTTGGTAGTTTGCTTATTAAATGCCTTGAGGTAGCCTTTTTTGGGTTAAATCTGCTTGGTGTTCTATAACCTTCTTGTACTTAAATATTGATACCTTTCCATAGGTTTCAGAAGTTCTGTGTTATTATCCCTTTGAATAAAGTTTATATACCTATCTCTTTCTCTATCTCATCTTTAAGGCCAATAACTCTTAAATTTGCTTTTCTGAGGCTATTTTCTAGATCATGTAGGAATGCTTCGTTATTTTGTTGCCGTTGTGTTTTCTGACTGTGTATTTTTAAATAGCCTATCTTCAAGGTAACTAATGCTTTCTTCTGCTTGACCAATTCTGCTATTTAAAAACTCTGATGCATTCCTCAGTATGCCAATTTCATTTTTCAGCTCCAAAATGTCTGTATGATTTTTTTAATATTTCGATCTTTTTGTTAAATTTATTTGAGAGTATTCTGAATTCTTTCTCTGTATTATCTTGAATTTATTTTTGTTTCCTTAACACAGCTATTTTCCTTCCCTGGTTTTAATTGAGAATTTTTAAGTCTGTCTCCCTCCCCTCTTAGCATATGAATTATATTTTTAAAAAACTAATTTTAGTTGTTCTGAGTTTGCAATATGCATTCACATCTAATCAAAGTTCACATCTAATCAAAGTCCTCTTGCAAATAACACTATACCACTTCATGGGTAATGTAAGCATAATAGTAGAGTATTTCTAATTTCTCTCACCAGTCATTTACATCATTTTGTTATTTGTTTACTTATTTGTAAGTTATACTCCCTGAATACCTTGTTGCTATCACTATTTTGACCACATTTTTATCTGTTAAATCAATTAAGAATAAGGAAGTAAAATATTTACTTTTACCTTCATTTATTTCTTTTCTAATGCTGTTCCTTTTATATATATATATATATATATATATATATATATATCTGGGTTTTTAAGCTTTGTTATTTTCTTCCTCAATAACTCATTTTCACATTACTTGCAAGACAAGTCTACTGTGACAAAGTCCGTCATTTATTTTTGTCTGAGAAATTATACTTTTCCTTCAATTATGAAAAATAAATTTCACTGTATTCAGAATTCTAAGTTGCCGAGGATTTTTTCAACACTTTAAATATTTCTCGCTACACTTTTCTTGTTCTCATGTTTTGTAAAAATAAGTCTGCGGTAATTCTCTAAATAAGGTGTGCACCAGGCCTTATGGCTTTTTTTCAAGCCATTCTCTTTGTCTTTGATTTTGTGTACCTTGAATATTGTATACCTAGAAGTTGATGTTTTTGGTATTTATCCTGCTTGGTGTCCTCTGAGTTTCCTGTTTCTGTGTTTTTTTAATCTATCATTAATTATGCAGAATTATCAGTCATTATTGCTCTATTTTTATTTTTTCTTTATTTTATTTTATTTTATTATTATTATACTTTAAGTTTTAGAGTACATGTGCACAACGTGCAGCTTTGTTACGTATGTATACATGTGGCATGTTAGTGAGCTGCACCCATTAACTCGTCATTTAGCATTAGGTATATCTCCTAATGCTATCCCTCCCCCCCTCCCTCCACCCCACAACCGTCCCCTGTGTGATGTTCCCCTTCCTGTGACCATGTGCTCTCATTGTTGAATTCCCAGCTATGAGTGAGAAGATGCGGTGTTTGGTTTTTTGTTCTTGCGATAGTTTGCTGAGAATGATGGTTTCCAGTTTCATCCATGTCCCTACAAAGGACATGAACTCACCATTTTTTATGGCTGCATAGTGTTCCATGATGTATATGTGCCACATTTTCTTAATCCAGTCTATCGTTGTTGGACATTTAGGTTGGTTCCAAGTCTTTGCTATTGTGAATAGTGCCGCTATAAACATACATGTGCATGTGTCTTTATAGCAGCATGATTTATAATCCTTTGGGTATATACCCAGTAATGGGATGGCTGGGTCAAATGGTATTTCTAGTTCTAGATCCGTGAGGAATCACCACACCGACTTCCACAGTGGTTGAACTAGTTTACAGTCCCACCAACAGTGTAAAAGTGTTCCTATTTCTCCACATCCTCTCCAGCACCTGTTGTTTCCTGACTTTTTAATGATTGCCATTCTAACTGGTGTGAGATGGTATCTCATTGTGGTTTTGATTTGCATTTCTCTGATGGCCAGTGATGACGAGCATTTTTTCATGTGTTTTTTAGCTGCATAAATGTCTTCTTTTGAGAAGTGTCTATTCATATCCTTCGCCCACTTGTTGATGGGGTTGTTTTTTTCTTGTAAATTTGTTTGAGTTCATTGTAGATTCTAGATATTAGCCCTTTGTCAGATGAGTAGGTTGCAAAAATTTTCTCCCATTCTGTAGGTTGCCTATTCACTCTGATGGTAGTTTCTTTTGCTGTGCAGAAGCTCTTTAGTTTAATTAGATCCCATTTGTCAATTTTGGCTTTTGTCGCCATTGCTTTTGGTGTTTTAGACATGAAGTCCTTGCCCATGCCTATGTCCTGAATGGTATTGCCTATGTTTTCTTCTAGGGTTTTTATGGTTTTAGGTCTAACATTTAAGTCTTTAAACCATCTTGAATTAATTTTTGTATAACGTGAAAGAAGGGATCCAGTTTCAGCTTTCTATATATGGCTAGCCAGTTTTCCAAGCACCATTTATTAAATAGGGAATCCTTTCCCCATTGCTTGTTTTTGTCAGGTTTGTCAAAGATCAGATAGTTGTAGATATGCGGCATTATTTCTGAGGGCTCTGTTCGGTTCCATTGATCTATATCTCTGTTTTGGTACCAGTACCATGCTGTTTTGGTTACTGTAGACTTGTAGTATAGTTTGAAGTCAGGTAGCGTGATGCCTCCAGCTTTGTTCTTTTGGCTTAGGATTGACTTGGCAATGCGGGCTCTTTTTTGGTTCCCTATGAACTTTAAAGTAGTTTTTTCCAGTTCTGTGAAGATCATTGGTAGCTTGATGGGGATGGCATTGAATCTATAAATTACCCTGGACAGTATGGCCATTTTCACGATATTGATTCTTCCTACCCATGAACATGGAATGTTCTTCCATTTGGTAGTATCCTCTTTTATTTCATTGAGCAGTGGTTTGTAGTTCTCCTTGAAGAGGTCCTTCAACTCCCTTGTAAGTTGGATTCCTAAGTATTTTATTCTCTTTGAAGCAATTGTGAATGGGAGTTGACTCATGATTTGCCTCTCTGTTTGTCTGTTATTGGTGTATAAGAATGCTTGTGATTTGGGTACGCTGATTTTGTATCCTGAGACTTTGCTGAAGTTGTTTATCAGCTTGAGGAGATTTTGGGCTGTGATGATGGGGTTTTCTAGATATACAATCATGTCATCTGCAAACAGGGACAATTTGACTTCCTCTTCTCCTAATTGAATACCCTTTATTTCCTTCTCCTGCCTGATTGCCCTGGCCAGAACTTCCAACACTATGTTGAATAAGAGTGGTGAGAGAGGGCATCCCTGTCTTGTGCCAGTTTTCAAAGGGAATGCTTCCAGTTTTTGCCCATTCTGTATGATATTGGCTGTGGGTTTGTCATAGATAGCTCTTATTATTTTGAGATACATCCCATCAATACCTAATTTATTGAGAGTTTTTAGCATGAAGTGTTGTTGAATTTTGTCAAAGGCCTTTTCTGCATCTATTGAGATAATCATGTGGTTTTGGTTTTTGTTCTGTTTATATGTTGGATTACATTTATTGATTTGCATATGTTGAACCAGCCTTGCATTCCAGGGATGAAGCCCACTTGATCATGGTGGATAAGCTTTTTGATGTGCTGCTGGATTCAGTTTGCCAGTATTTTATTGAGGATTTTTGCATCAATGTTCATCAAGGATATTAGTCTAAAATTCTCTTTTTTGGTTGTATCTTTGCCAGGCTTTGGTATCAGGATGATGCTGGCCTCATAAAATGAGTTAGGGAGGATTCCTTCTTTTTCTATTGATTGGAATAGTTTCAGAAGGAATGGTACCAGCTCCTCTTTGTACCTCTGGTAGAATTCAGCTGTGAATCCGTCTGGTCCTGGACTTTTTTTAGTTGGTAAGCTACTGATTATTGCCTCAATTTCAGAGCCTGTTATTGGTCTATTCAGAGATTCAACTTCTTCCTGGTTTAGTCTTGGGAGGATGTATGTGTTGAGGAATTTATCCATTTCTTCTAGGTTTTCTACTTTATTTGTGTAGAGGTTTTTATAGTATTCTCCGATGGTAGTTTGTATTTCTGTGGGATCGGTGGTGATATCCCCTTTATCACTTTTTATTGTGTCTATTTGATTCTTCTCTCTTTTCTTCTTTATTAGTCTTGCTAGCGGTCTATCAATTTTGTTGATCTTTTCAAAAAACCAGCTCCTGGATTCATTAATTTTTTGAAGGGTTTTTTGTGTCTCTATTTCCTTCAGCTGTGCTCTGATCTTAGTTATTTCTTGCCTTCTGCTAGCTTTTGAATGTGTTTGCTCTTGCTTTTCTAGTTTTTTTAATTGTGATATTAGGGTGTCAATTTTAGATCTTTCCTGCTTTCTCTTGTGGGCATTTAGTGCTAGAAATTTCCCTTTACACACTGCTTTGAATGTGTCCCAGAGATTCTGGTATGTTGTGTCTTTGTTCTCGTTGGTTTCAAAGAACATCTTTATTTCTGCCTTAATTTCATTATTTACCCAGTAGTCATTCAGAAGCAGGTTGTTCAGTTTCCATGTAGTTGAGTGGTTTTGAGTGAATTTCTTAATCCTGAGTTCTAGTTTGATTGCACTGTGGTCTGAGAGACAGTTTGTTATAATTTCTGTTCTTTTACATTTGCTGAGGAGTGCTTCACTTCCAACTATGTGGTCAATTTTGGAGTAGGTGTGGTGTGGTGCTGAAAAGAATGTATATTCTGTTGATTTGGGGTGGAGAGTTCTGTAGATGTCTATTAGGTCCGCTTGGTGCAGAGCTGAGTTCAATTATTGGGTGTCCTTGTTAACTTTCTGTCTCGTTGATCTGTCTAATGTTGACAGTGGGGTGTTAGTCTCCCATTATTAATGTGTGGGAGTCTAAGTCTCTTTGTAGGTCACTAAGGACTTGCTTTATGAATCTGGGTGCTCCTGTATTGGGTGCATATATATTTAAGACAGTTAGCTCTTCTTGTTGAATTGATCCCTTTACCATTATGTAATGGCCTTCTTTGTCTCTTTTGATCTTTGTTGGTTTAAAGTCTGTTTTATCAGAGACTAGGATTGCAACCTCTGCCTTTTTTTGTTTTCCATTTGCTTGGTAGATCTTCCTCCATCCCTTTATTTTGAGCCTATGTGTGTCTCTGCATGTGAGATGGGTTTCCTGAATACAGCACACTGATGGGTCTTGACTCTTTATCCAATTTGCCAGTCTGTGTTTTTTCATTGGAGCATTTAGCCCATTTACATTTAAAGTTAATATTGTTATGTGTGAATTTGATCCTGTCATTATGATGTTAGCTGGTTATTTTGCTCATTAGTTGATGCAGTTTCTTCCTGGCCTTGATGGTCTTTACAATTTGGCATGTTTTTGCAGTGGCTGGTACCAGTTGTTCCTTTCCATGTTTAGTGCTTCCTTCAGGAGCTCTTTTAGGGCAGACCTGGTGGTGACAAAATCTCTCAGCATTTGCTTGTCTGTAAAGTATTTTATTTCTCCTTCACTTATGAAGCTTAGTTTGGCTGGATATGAGATTCTGGGTTGAAAATTCTTTTCTTTAAGAATGTTGAATATTG
This sequence comes from Homo sapiens, assembly GCF_000001405.40. Taxonomy (NCBI): domain Eukaryota; kingdom Metazoa; phylum Chordata; class Mammalia; order Primates; family Hominidae; genus Homo; species Homo sapiens. The sequence goes on from NC_000023.11 coordinate 87,447,442, forward strand.
GTCCCCACTCTCTTCTGGCTTGTAGGATTTCTGCCGAGAGATCCGCTATTAGTCTGATGGGCTTCCCTTTGTGGGTAACCCGACCTTTCTCTCTGGCTGCCCTTAACATTTTTTCCTTCATTTCAACTTTGGTGAATCTGACAATTATGTGTCTTGGAGTTGCTGTTCTCGAGGAGTATCTTTGGGTCATTCTCCGTATTTCCTGAAGTTGAATGTTGGCCTGCCTTGCTAGATTGGGGAAGTTCTCCTGGATAATGTCCTGCAGAGTGTTTTCCAACTTGGTTGCATTCTCCCCATCACTTTTAGGTACACCAATCAGACGTAGATTTGGTCTTTTCACATAGTCCCATATTTCTTGGAGGCTTTATTTGTTTCTTTTTATTCTTTTTTCTCTAAACTTCTCTTCTCGCTTCATTTCATTCATTTCATCTTCCATCACTGATACCCTTTCTTCCAGTTGATCGCATCGGCTACTGAGGCTTCTGCATTTGTCAAGTAGCTCTCGTGCCTTGGTTTTCAGCTCCATCTGGTCCTTTAAGGACTTCTCTGCATAGGTTATTCTAGTTATACATTCGTTTAATTTTTTTTCAAAGTTTTTAACTTCTTTGCCATTGGTTGGAATTTCCTCCTGTAGCTCGGAGTAGTGTGATCATCTGAAGCCTTCTTCTCTCAACTCGTCAAAGTCATTCTCCATCCAGCTTTGTTCCGTTGCTGGTGAGGAGCTGTGTTCCTTTGGAGGAGGAGAGGCACTCTGATTTTTAGAGTTTCCAGTTTTTCTGCTCTGTTTTTTCCCCGTCTTTGTGATTTTATCTACCTTTGGTCTTTGATGATGGTGACGTACAGATGGGTTTTTGGTGTGGATGTCCTTTCTGTTTGTTAGTTTTCCTTCTAACAGACAGGACCCTCAGTTGCAGGTCTGTTGGAGTTTGCTAGAGGTCCACTTCTGACCCTGTTTGTCTGGGTATCAGCAGCGGTGGCTGCAGAACAGCAGATTTTGGTGAACCACAGATGCTGCTGCCTGATCGTTCCTCTGGAAGTTTTGTCTCAGAGGAGTACCCAGCCGTGTGAGGTATCAGTCCGCCCCTACTGGGGGGTGCCTCCCAGTTAGGCTACTCGGCGATCAGGGACCCACTTGAGGAGGCAGTCTGCCCATTCTCAGATCTCCAGCTGCGTGCTGGGAGAACCACTACTCTCTTCAAACCTGTCAGAGAGGGACATTTAAGTCTGCAGAGGTTACTGCTGTCTTTTCATTTGTCTGTGCCGTGACCCCAGAGGTGGAGCCTACAGAGGCAGGCAGGCCTCCTTGAGCTGTGGTGGGCTCCACCCAGTTCGAGGTTCCCGGCCACTTTGTTTACCTAATCAAACAACTAACTGGGCAATGGCGGGCGCCCCTCCCCCAGCCTCACTGTTGCCTTGCAGTTTGATCTCGGACTGCTGTGCTAGCAATGATTGAGACTCCGTGGGTGTAGGACCCTCCGAGTCATGTGTGGGATATAATCTCCTGGTGTGCCGTTTTTTAAGCCCATTGGAAAAGCGCAGTATTAGGGTGGGAGTGACCCAATTTTCCAGGTGCCATCTGTCACCACTTTCTTTGACTAGCAAAGGGAATTCCCTGACCCCTTGCGTTTCCCGGGTGAGGTGATGCCTCGTCCTGCTTCGGCTTGCACACGGTGTGCTGCACCCACTGTCCTGCACCTACTGTCTGGCACTCCCCAGTGAGATGAACCTGGTACCTCAGTTGGAAATGCAGAAATCACCCGTCTTCTGTGTCACTCACGCTGGGAGCTGTAGACCGGAGCTGTTCCTATTTGGCCATCTTGCTCTTCTCTATTTTTTCATCTCTCTCTTCATCTTTCTTCTTTCCTCCTCACTTCTCTCTTTCCGGTTTTCTCATTACACTTATGTTATAGCCTTTATAATTGTCTCAGTTCCTGGGTAGTATGCTGTGAGTTTTTTTATTATTATTTTTCCTCTTTGCATTTCAGTTTTGTACGTTTTTACTTACATTTTTTCAAACTCATCAATTTTTTGCTTGGCCCTGTCTATTCTGTTGATGAGTTTATCAAAAGCATTCTTGCCAGGTATGACGGCTCATGCCTGTAATCTCAAAACTTTGGGAGGCCAAGGCAGGTGATCTCTTGAGCCCAGGATTCCAAGAGCAGCCTGGGCAACATAGTGATACTCCATCTCTACAAAAAAACCTTTTTTAGATTAGGCAGTCATGATTGCATGTGCCTGTAGTCCTACTTACTCAGGAGGCTAAGGCACAATGATTGCTTGAGCCCAGGAGTTTGAAGCTACAGTGAGACATGATCACACTGCTGCACTCTAACATGGACAACATAGAGAGATCCAGTCTTAAAATATAAATAAATACATAAATTAGAAAGCATTATTTATTTATTTCTTTGTCATTGTTTTTTATTTTAACATTACCTTTTGATATTTTTAAGTTTTTAAAGTAATTCTTGCATTAATCATCTATTCTTGATTTTTTTTCCTGCTTTTCCATTAAAGCTCTTAGCATATTAATCACACTGGTTTTACATTTCTGGTCTAATAATTCCAACATGTCTGCCATATTTGAATCTGGTTCTGATGTTAGCTATGTCTCTTCAATAAAGTGTGAATAATGCGTTCTTAATGTGTGAATTGTGCAGTTCTTTCAGTTGTGTGCTGCTGGTATTATTCAGGAGTTACATTGGTGCGGTAGTAAGGTGTCAGGGGAGGGGGAATATTTTATGGTTCTATGATTAGGTCTAAACCTTTTAATGAATGTGTGCTAAGTCATTCTCTCTACCCCCATTAGATTAGACAAGAAGGCTTCTAGAGGGGGATAGATTTGGATAGTTTCCTTTCTCCATATTGAAGCCTGTAATTATCAGAAAATGGGTATTTTCCTTCCCCTGGATTACTTAGGCTCTGGTAAAACTCCAGCAGATTGGACTCTTGTGAAATAGTTTCCTTTGAGGGAATACCTTGGTAAGAACATAACGCTCTGATCATTATTTCATAATGAATACACTTCCTTCTTTTCTGGCGTGAAGCAGGAGCAGGTTTTTCTCTAATTTTCACCATGAGAACCTGGTAAGGCTACAGGACGTAAAACTCACACGAGTGTTTGACCCTTCCTGGAAATTTTAACTCTCAGACTTGTTCACACTAAGCATTCAGCAATTATTCAAGTAAAGTTTAAGTTTTCCTATCTTTGTACTGGTTTTTATATATCGTGAGTGTTGTTACACCCCTGGAGTATTTCCATGGGGTTGAAAAAGAAAAAGTAAATATTATCAATAAAATCAAAAGCTATTTCTTTTATAAAACATTAAACTATTAACTATTGTCATGTCTTATCCAAATAAAGATGAGAAAAAACACAAATAAGTAACTTTAGGAGAGGATAATGTTTCTTCTCCTCAGCTTCAGCTCCAGTACGTTGTGATTCTTTTTACCTGCTTGTCTGTGCTTCCAGTTTTGGGAGCAGAGTAGTTTGCCCTGTAACCTCAATTCTCTGATGAATCTAGAAAAAAATTGTTGATTTTTAGTTTGTTCAACTTTTTACTTAATTTGAAAATGGATGTGATGATTTCTAGACACCTTATATGCTGGACTGAAACTGGAAGTAATTTTGTTTTCTTAAGTGCCAACATCTGACAAATATTGTCTACAAAATAACATAATATTATTTATCTTTGTTATTTTAATAAAAAATGGGTATAAGCAATATATGACTATATGTTCATATGCATTTTTTTCTCAGTACCATAGAAGAACTGAGATTAGTTTTCATTTCCCCTCCAACACCCATTGCCCTTCCTTCAAATAATCACTGTTAACATTTTGGTATACAAGACTTCCAGACCTTTTTATACTGTTACCTATATAACTATGTCTCCATTGCTATACCCACAAATCTATTTAGTTTTAAATATGTTGGTTTAAAGATGCATATATTATTCTTTAATAATTTTACATTATTTTTAATTTGATTACTTCCTCAATCATAAAGTTACTTATTTGTGTTTTTTTCTTTTCTTTGTTTTGATCAGATATGACAATAGTTTAATGTTTTATGAAAGAAATGGCTTTTGATTTTATTGATAATTTTACTTTTTGTTTTTCTTTCCCATGGAAGTTCTCCAGGGGTGGGGCAATGCTCAGTAAAGAACTATTCAAGCCTTGGTATGATTATGGATCAATCAAGGCAGTGGTCTACAAATTGCATAAGCTTAAAAGTAAATTGAAACTAATTATTTTATAACATTAAAATAATAAAATCATGCTAAAAATATTTAACCACTTTGTACACTTTGACTTTTTTCGTTCATGTTTTATTCTTCTTCTTATTTTTTTAATGGAGTCTCACTCTGTGGTCCAGGTTGGAGTGAAGCGCAACCTTCAACTCCCAGGTTTAAGCGATTCTCCTGCCTCAGCCTCCTGAGTAGCTGGGATTACAGGCTTACACCACAACGTCCGGCTAATTTTTGTATTTTTAGTAGAGATGGGGTTTTGTCATGTTGGCCAGGGTGGTCTCGAACTCCTGGCCTCAAGTGATCCTGCCTGCCTCGTCATCCCAATGTGCTGGGATTACAGGTGTGAGCAACAATGTCCAGCCACTTGATTCTTTATTAATGTGTTTCTTTAGCTTTGTCAGAGGTTATTTTGTAATTCTTTTTAAGAATTGTTGACTTGAATGCTTAGTTCATTCATTTTTATTTCTTCTTGTTCTCTAATACATTGGTTCAAGACTAAAAATTTATCTGAATGTCATTTTGGCTACATTCCATACATTGTGATATATAATGTCTTCACTATAATTTGTTTCTACCATCTGCATTTAAAATTGTTATTTCTAATTCAGGCAGTATATGCCAGCGTGTGGGTTTTTTTATTATTTGTTTTCAATTTTACACTGGACAGTTTATTTACCCTCTTCTTTGTATTTTATTTCCAGTTTCCTATGTGTCTTTGAACATGGTTACATTTTATTAATGTTCTTTGCATGTTAGAGCATAATGTGCACTTTGTAATGTGTTCAGAGGAATTGATCTTTATCAAATTAATCTGATTACCTATGTTATTCACTTCTATTGTCTTGATTACTTTTGTCTGTTTATTCTGTCATTTTCTTAAAAAACTCCAATTATGACTATAGAGTTCTTATTTTCTTAACATACATTCTATACTTTAATTTTCAATATATTAATAAAATAAAAACTTATGGTTATTTCGTAGCTTTGACTCAGAGGATATATTCTGACGAGATAGTAAATAGAGCCAAAGAACAAAATTGAGATCTGATACCAGTCCCCCAGAGTTAAAACACACAGTACAGAAGTTGGGAGCTGAAACTTGGATGATTAAAATATCCTAGAAATGAAGCCAGCCAACTAAACCATCTTATACCACAATCAAAATACAGAGCAATTTTCTGTATTAGTTTTGAAAAACAATGTACAAGTTTTGGTTTAAAAAAATTAAAATACATGTAAAAAAGTAGGCCAAAGCCTACAGTTAGAAAATAAGCCTTAAATAGCACAAATAAAAAAGCTCTCCTTCATGGATTAATTAAGGCAATGGTCTAAATAGCATATGCTTAAAGGTAAATTGAAACTAATTATTTTACGACATTATAATAATAAAATCATGTTTAAAATTTTCAACTACATTGTACACTTCTATTTTTGTGTGTAAAGACAGGTTCAGAGAAAGTGCTGGCACTGACAGCTATATGTAGGTTACAAGCTACAGCTGATAGTTCTATTCTTGAACTTAGTATAAACACAGCATGGAGAGAGAGACAAGGGTGAGAGAAGGGAAAGGAAAGTGCTTCCATTTCACCAAGCACATTTTATGTCATTTGAATATCAGGACATTTTCCTTAGCTATTGTTCTAGAAATAATCTTAACGTTTCTGAATATTAAGCTTATTCTTGAGACACCCTAGCTTATTTTATTTGTAATGTATTTCTAGGAATTAGAAATAATGTTATTCATTCAATGCTCTAAGATTATGCTAATTTTTAAAAGAGGAAGAATCTTCACAATAAAATATCTTAATTAGAAGCAGCATAATTCTTATTCTTTATTCTACAAATTACAGATATTTTGTTTATGTGGTTTAGTCTTGATATCTGAAGGAGAAAAAAAATAAAGTAAATCAAAAGGAAAGTACACAGAACACAAGACAGGGAGATATCTGAGATATTAACATATGCAGGAAATTGTCAGCAGGGTGCGGTGGCTCACTCCTTAATCCCAGCATTTTAAGAGGTCAAGGCGGGTGGATTGCCTGAGCTCAGGAGTTTGAGACCAGCCTGGGCAACACGGTGAAACCCCATCTATAGTAAAATACAAAAAATTAGCCAGGCATGGTGGTGTGTGCCTGTAGTCCCAGCTACTTGGGAGGCTGAGGCAGGAGAATTACTTGAACCCAGAAGGTGGAGGTTGCAGTGACCCAAGATCACACCACTGCACTCCAGCCTGGGTGACAGAGTGACACTCCATCTCCCCTCAAAAAGGAAAGAAAATTGTCAAGGGCACACAGTAAATGAGCAATTTGTAAACTCTCAACAGACATTGGGGCCAAATATAGAAATTCTGACTTTCAGTTCTAGCAGAGATTGAAGTGTAGTTTGATTTTCTGTTGTATGTGTGGGCCAAACTAATTAACAAGCAAAGTATAATTTCAAAGGTTTGGGAAATGTACACATTGTAAATATAGTTGCATAGCAAATGAAGTAATTAAAAATTATTAATTTTTTTGGAGATATGTTTTCGCTCTTGTTGCCCAGGCTGGAGTGCAATGGTCTGATCTCGGCTCACTGCAACCTCCACCTTCCAGGTTCAAGCTATTCCCCTGCCTCAGCTTCCCGAGTAGCTGGGTTTAGAGGCACCTGCCACCACGCCCGGCTAATTTTTTTGTGTTTTTAGTAGAGACAGGGTTTCACCGTGTTGGCCAGGCTAGTCTCAAACTCCTGACCTCATGTGATCCACCTGCCTAGGCCTCCCAAAATGCTGGGATTACAGGTGTGAGCCCAGCCAAAATTAATTAATTCTATATCAAACATTAACTAGCTGTGTGATCTTGGACAAGTCACATAATCTATTTTCTCCAATATTACTCCAGTATAAAGTTCTGTGATTCCCATATATTTTTAAACTGATGTATTATTAAACAGATGCCATCATCCAGCCTTAGCATCCAATCAGTAGCTAATGTAAATGAAAACGTAGGTAAATCACTCTACAATTCTCTGAAGCTATCAGCTGTTGTTTATAATATAGAGAATACATTTGAGATAAATTATGCAGGTAAACCCTTACAGTTGACAAAATACCTCAAACTTCCCTAAACTCTACTTTCTAAATAATCAAACTTTCTGTTGATTGTAATGTCGATAAGCCATGGAAATGTACTGTCAGATGACTGACAGCCAGGTGAAACAAGGAACAAGAACAACTGGTGAACTTCTAATGGATCTTCAGAGGTAAAGCACCGACAGTGGACAGAGGGAAGACACAGAAGCTGGGCTAAAGCAGGAGGAAGCTGGGAACCCTGTGTACGACCACCATGCACCAGGACTTGTTCCTAGCTCCTAGTGACTCTGGGGGAACAGGTGAGTTGAACTGTCAAGAAACAACACACTTTCATCATGAGCCTATGAAATCCTGGCATAGGAGACCCCTCAACCACTGTGGACACTTGAGTTGGCAGGGAGAGCTGCTTAGAGAATTGGTAAGGACAGCAAGGCTGCCAATGTGGAGCCCAGAGAGTTTGGTGTGAAAGTGTCTGTAGTGGAGCACAGCCAGGATCACTCATCCCTGCTAAATGCCACTTGCTCCCAGAGAAGACTTTAGCCACAGGGGAACTATCTGGAACTAAACTCTGAAGGACTGTCTTGCCATCAGATGGGGCCAGTCTGACCTGAGTATCTCTTGGTCTGCTGCCCTCTCCCAGGGCCTCAGCCCGACTGTGCCTGCTAGCAGTGCAGACTGACGTGTCCTGGGGGCCTACATCAGACTAACAATGGACCTCTGAATAGAAACCCTATAAGCCAGAAAAGATAGGGCACCAATATTCAACATTGTTAAAGAAAAGAAGTTCATATCCAGCTAAACTAAATTTCATAAGAGAAGAAATAATATTCTTTTCAGACAAGCAAATTCTGAGGGAATTCATTACCACCAGAGCTGCCTTAAAAGAGCTCCTGAAAGAAGCACTAAATATGGAAAGAAAAGATTGTTACTAGCCACTACAAAAACACACTTAGGTACACAGAAGAGTGACACTATAAAGCAACCACACAAGCAAGTCCGCATAATAACCAGCTAACATCATGATGACAGGATCAATTTCACACATTACAATATTAACTTTGAATGTAAAAGGGATAAATGTCCCCAATTAGAAGGCACATCGTGTCAAGCTGAATAAAGAACCAAGATCTGATGGTATGCTGACTTCAAGAGACCCATTACACATGCAATGGCATCTATATTCTCAAAATAAAGGGATGGAAAAAAACCTACCAAGCAAATGGAAAACAGAAAAAGGCAGGTGTTATAATAATAATTTCAGACAAAACAGACTTTAGACCAACAAAGATCAAAAAAGACAAGGGCATTATTACATAATGGCAAGGGGTTTAATTCAACAAGAAGACTTAACTATCCCAAATATGTACACACTTATAAAGGAGTACCCAGACTCATAAAGAAACTTCTTAGAGACCATCCAAGAGACTTAGGCTCCCACCCAATAATAGTGGGAGAATTTAACATAAAATATCAGACAGATCATTGAGGCAAAAAAAGGAATAAACATAATTAGGAAAAACTCAGCAGCAGATCAAATGGACCTGATAAGATGCCTATAAACTCTCCACCCCAAAACAATAGAATATACATTTTTTTCCATTACCCCATGGGACATACTCTAAAATTGATCATATAAACAAACATAAAACACTCTTCAACGCAAAAGAACTGAAATTATTAAAAACCACTCTGTCGAATGACAGCACAATAAAAATAGAATTCAAGACTAAGAAAATAGCTCAAAACCAAACAATTACATGGAAATTGAATGAACTGCTCCTGAGTAACTTTGGGTAAATAATGCAATTAAGGCACAAATAAAGTATTTCTTTGAAACTAGTGAGAACAAAGACATAATATACCAGAATCTCTAGGATACAGCTATGGCAGTGATAAGAGGAAAGTTTATGGCATTAAATGCCAACATCAAAAACTTAAAAAGATCTCAATTTAACAACCTAATGGCCAGGCATCATGGCTCATGCCTGTAATAACAGCACTTTTGGAGGCCGAGGTGGGTGGATCACTTTAGGTCACGAGTTCAAGACCAGCCTGACCAACATGGTGAAATCCCATCTCTACTAAAAATACAAAAATATAGCCAGGCATGGTGGTGTGCGTCTGTAATCCTAGTCACTCAGGAAGCTGAGACAGGAGAATAGCTTTAACCCAGGAGACACAGGTTGCAGTGAGCCGAGACTGCGCCACTATACTCCAGCCTGGGTAACAGAGTGATACTCTGTCACAAAAATAAAATAAAATAGAAACAACCTAACATCCCAACTATAAGAACTAGAGAACCAAGAGCAAACCAACCCCAAAGCTAGCAGAAGACAAGAAATCACCAAAGTCAGAGCTGAACTTAAAGAGATTGAGACATGAAAAGCCATTCAATCAATAGATCCAGGAGTTTTCTTTTTGAAAAACTTAATAATACACATAGACTCCTAGCTAGAGTAATAAGAGGAAAAGAGGGAAGATGCAAATAAAGACAATTAGAAACAACAAATGGGATATTACCAGTGACCCCACAGAAATTCAAACAACCATCAGAGACTATTATGAGCACCTATATGCACACAAACTGGAAAATCTGGAAGAAATGAACAAATTCCTGGACACATACACCCTCCTAAGACTGAACCAGAAAGAAACTGAATCCGTGGACAGACCAATAGCAAGCTCTGAAATTGAATCAGTAATAAGTCGACTACCAACCAAAAAAAGCCAAGGACAAGACAGATTCATAGCCTAAATTTTCCAGAAGTACAAAGAAGAGCTATTACCATTTCTACTGAAACTATTCCGAAAAAATTGAGGAGGAGATACTCATCTCTAACTCATTCTATGAGGCCAACATTATTCTGATACATAACCTGGCAGAGATACAGCAAAAAAGAAAACTTCAGGCCAATATCCTTGATGAACATCAACGCAAAAATTATCAACAAAATACTAGCAAACCAAATCCAATAGCACACCAAAAAGCTAACCTACCACAATCAAGTAGGCTTTGTCTTTAGGATGAAAAGTTCATTTAACATATGCAAATCATTAAATGTGATTCATTACAGAAACAGAACTGAAGACAATATCCACATGATTATCTCAATAGAGGCAGAAAAGGCTTTTGAAAAAATTTAACACTGATTCAAGTTAAAAACCCTCAATAAACTACGTAATGAAGGAACACACCTCAAAATAATAAGAGCCATCTATGACAAACACACAGCCAACATCAAACTTAAAAACCAGCACAAGACAAGGATGTCCTCTCACACTACTCCTATTCAACGTACTATTGGAAGTCCTGGCCAGAGAAATCAAGCAAGAGAAATAAATAAAAAGACAACATAATTCTATATCTAGAAGACCCCATAGTCTTACCCCAAAAGCTCCTTCAGCTGAAAAACAACTTCAGCAAATTCTCAGGATACAAAATCAACATACAAAAACTACTAGCATTTCTATACCCACAAATTCAAGCTGAAAGCCACATCAGGAATGCAATCCCATACACAATAGCCTCAAAAAAGAATAAAATACCTAGGTATACAAATAACCAAGAAGGTGCAAGATCCCTACAATAAGAACTACAAAACACTGCTCAAAGAAATCAGAGATGACACATACAAATGGAAAAAACATTCCGTGCTCATTGATAGAAAGAATCAACATTATTAAAATGGCCATGCTGCCCCAAGCCATCTATAGAATCAATGCTACTTCTATCAAATTACCAATGACATTCCTCACAGAACTAGACAAATCTATTTTAAAATTCATATGGAACCAAAAAGAGCCTGAATAGCCAAGGCAATCCTAGGCAAAAAAACACAAAGCTGAAGGAATCACACTACCACTACCCAACTTCAAACTTTACTATGGGACTACTGTAAACAAAGTAGCATGGTACTGCTACAAAAAAAGACACATAGACTAAAGGAACTGAATAGAGAGCCCAGAAATAAGACCACACAGCCACGACCATCTGATCTTTAACAAAGCTGACAAAATTAGGCAATGAGGAAAGGAGTTCCTATTTAATAAATGGTGCTGGTATAACTGCCTAGCCATATGTGGAAGACTGAAACTGGACCCCTCTCTTATACTATATACAAAGATCAATTACAGATGGATTCAAGACTTAAATGCAAAACCCAATACTATAAAAACCCTGGAAGACAACCTAGGCAATACCATTCTGTACATAGGAAAGGGCAAAATATTTATGCGTAAGACACCAGTAGCAATTGTAACAGAAGCAAAAACTGACAAATAGGATATAATTAAACAAAAGAGCTCTGCACAGGAAAATAAATAATCAGTAGAGTAAACAGGCAACCTCCAGAATGGGAGAAAATTTTCACAAACTGCATCTGAGAAAGGCCTAATATCTAGTACATATAGGGAATTAAAACAAATTTTCAAGAAAAAATACTTCATTAAAAAGTGGGCAAAGGACATGAACAGACACTTTTCAAAAGAAAGCATACATACAGTCAAAAAGTATATGAAGAAAAGCTCCACATCATGGATTAATATAGAAATACAAATCCAAACCACAATGAGAAGCCATCTTACACCAGTCAGAATGGCTATTATTAAAAAGTCAAAAATTAACGGATGGTGGTGAGGTTGTGGAGAAAAAGTAATGCTTATACACTGTTGGTCAGAGTGTAAATTAGTTTGACCATTGTGAAAAGCAGTGTGGCAATTCCTTAAAGAGGTAAAAAGAAAACTATAATTTGACCTAGCAAACCCATTACTGGGTATATACCCAAAGGAATATAAATCATTCTATCATAAACACTCATGTATATGTTCTTTGCTGCACTATTCACAATAGCAAAGACATAGAATCAACCTAAATGTCCATTGATAGTAGACTGGATAAAGAAAATGTTGTATATATACACCATGGAATATTATGCAGCCATTAATAAGAATAAGATCACGTTGTTTGCAGGAACATGCATGGATCTGGTGGCCATTATTTTTAGCAAACTAACACAGGAACAGAAAACCAAATACCACATGTTCTCACTTATAAGTGAGAGCTAAATGATGAGAACACATGAACACATAGAGGGGAACAACAGATACTGGGGCATAGTGGAGGGTGCAGGATGGAAAGAGGGAATCAGGAAAAAAAAATAAGTAATGGGTACTAGGCTTAATATCTAGATGACAAAATAATCTGTACAACAAACCTCCATGACATGGGCTTGCCTATATAACAAACCTGCTCATGTATCCCTGAACTTAAAATATAAGTTAAAAAAATATGCTGTAGGTCCATGTTTGCCTCCTCAGAATCACAGAAATATCTTTTATTTCATGACATCTGGTTTTCCACTCAGGAAAACAAAAGGATAGTCACTGTAACTAAAATTAAACAATGTTTTTTAAGCTTTTAGTTCACCTTGGACATTAGCAGATCATTCTGGAAAATAGCCCATCTTATAAAAATAGATACAACTTGTGTTTTGATTATAGAAGAGAATGTACAAGCTGAATGAAAAGATGCTATACTATACTAATATGTATCATTGTGTGGATTTTTAAGTGTAAAAATGTTACTCTTGCTTTTTACCATCATCAAATGTAAATGAGGTCAAAAGTGCTGTTGGACTTTTACGTAATTTACCATAAAAAAAAAACTCTCTTCATTTGGAATCAGTTGCAATCTTGCTTCCTTTGTGCATAAATCTTTAAGTTGTGTGTCATTTTAGTTATATCTGTCTCCTAATTACTCAAACAAAATGTTTTTTATACAGTAAACAGTAAATATTGGTATGTGTTAAATTAATTAGTGAACAAATAAGTCTTATATACATTGTGTCCTTCAAAGGAACCTGAAGACCCTTTTTACTTCCTTATGCCAAGCCTAGAACAAATTATAAGTCTCTCACTAACTTATTTCTCTCCCTGGGACTTAATTTTCGCTGACCCATCTAGTTCTTCATAATCAAAGGTGCCCTTAAAGTCAATGGTTTAGACACACAATCCTCAATAACTTCAGCCTTTTCAGTTTGATTCTCTTTTTGTTGCCATTAAAAGTAATTGCACAATTGGCAATTATTTTTGCATCAACCTAATACTAAAACTCCTGTAACCCAAATTTATGATAAGTTAAATAAAGAGGAATGGGGGAAGAAAGTGATTTCCACCCAGTCTGTGCCCCACTGTTACAGCTCTCACTATTTTCCTTCATCTAATTAATTTACCATTTAATTTTTTATCTTTATTCGACATTTTTATAATACCTCCTTTACCCCTCCATAATTGGCGCTTAATCATTAGAATATTGGATCAATAGAAGAGAACATATAATCTGTGTATGTACTTGGTTGTATAAATGATATTGCTCAATATGAACTTGGTTCAGTATTATTTGACACTTTCATCAACACTCTGTATATTAAGAAACAAACATCTTTGAGAGAAGGATGGGCATTTGAGTAGCTTACTCTAAAGAGCAAAGAAGGATAAACACGATTTTGGGAAGTGTTTGGAAACTAATATATTTAAGTCAGTTAAGGAAGCTGTATTAACAAACACAAATTAGTTAATGTTATTTTAATAGCGTGACATTACCAAGATGGCAGAGAAGGAGATACATGCCTTCATTCCCCAATAAAAACAACTAATATAGATAACCATTCTAATTCAAATTAGCCCAGAGAGGGCCGGAGGGCCCATTAAAGAATCTGCAGCAACACACTGGAGCAAATAAAATGAAGAATATCCAATTAGAAAGGATCTCCAGTTAGATCAACATACCTGAGATGTGAAGAGATGGCTAGGAACAGAGGAAAGATGGAGGATATTGGTGTCAGCCACACTGTAGGAAACACCATGGTCCCCGGTAGCCTTCTCCACAGAGGATACTAGCATCTCTTACCACTGAAGTAACCAACAGCCATTCCCAACAGGGAACACCGGAGGAGATATGGTTATACACTTCTCCTCAGCTCAAAAAGCATCCATTGTTCAGTTCCTTTGGGAAAATAGTATCCACCTTTCTCGACCTTGCATGTGCCCCAGTCCTAGAGTTGCGGCTGACCCACAAGTACCTGCAGTCCATATCCAGGTTCTCTAACTGCACTAGACTCTCTCATGTTTCAGACACTAGAGCCATCAGCATAGTCACCTAGTTTACACTCCATATCCCAAAGTCAGACCTTGCTGTGTATTCCTGAGGTCTAGTACTGGCTCAGCCACTATAGAAGACCAGGCCACTTCCAGCCTCCACAGCCAATTTTCTGTGCTCCCATTTTTGGCTTGCTGTCTTAATGCTTTGCAAGCTTTTACCAACACAGTGATAGAGCGGCTTGCAACCTGGACACCAGCTCAGTGACCACAGAGAGTTAGGCTCTGTTCTGACACTAGAGCTGTTCTAAACTCTGTGTACACCTGTACTCTCACTCTGTTTTCCTGGCTACTTCATAAGCATCTATGACTCACATGCTTTTAGCACTATGGCACTGGGGTGCCACCAACACGGGCAACAGTGCCATTACCACCTCAAATCACAGAACCGTAGTCCCTTCAAACAGGTTCATGCTTCAGACCTCAGCTCCACAGCTGTTCCATAGTACCACTCAACAGACCCCAATGAAACCATCACGATGAGAGAGCTCATAAGCCAGATCCATTGTTAAAAGGAATCCCCTCAGCCAAAACTTCCCACGAGAGAGAAAGAGAGATCAGGAAGAATATAAAAGGCATTGCCACCAAAGACCACAACAACCCTTGCTGCCACCATGGACAGTATTGGCAGCTGAGGATACCTGCAGTCTTCATCAATACCAGTATCAGCTGACATAGCTGTGCAAAGTTGACAGAGCTACACCCTCACTGTTGTTAGAATCACTGCACCCCATCCAGTTTGCACCCTTGCACCACCACATAGAGGTTTTTGTTTTTCACAACAAAGCTGAACCATAGTGTCTGCAAGAGGAGAATACTCCAGAAAATGTGCCGACATTAAACATAAGGGAAAAAGAATATTTAAAAACCAAGGAGACTCTTGACAAGCTGACAGCCAGGTAGAAAAATGGAAGGATACTAAGCACAGCACCCTGTGGCTAATGGTTCTTCCTGCTGAAGCCTACACTCACCAGTGTTAGCCAGTTCTCAATAGTCACAGCTGGATATTCAGATCCCATTGCATTGGTTTGTTAAATGTTTCAGTGAAAAAAATCTGTGTACTAGGGAAGCAAGTTGAATTATTAGGAGCTGCTAAATGGAAAGGCCCTAATGACAAAGAATCAACAGGAGCTCCAGCCTGAGACAATCAGTCCAAACTGAATCCTGCCAATAATTCATATATAAGTGCAGAAGCAGATGCTGCACCAGTCAAGCTTCAGTTGAGACCACAGCCCCAGCCTCCTGAGAAATATTGAGATAAAGAAAAAATGTGAGCCATGTCTGGATCCTGTTCTGCAAAAACTATGATATGATAAATGTTTCTGACTTACACTGTGAACTTCTTTTCCAAGAACCATTACAGGAACACACCAGGAAAACTAAAAAAGTTTACAGATCCTATGAAAGTAGTGACATACTGCTGCAAACTCCATGAGACAGGCAAAAAGCTCTGAGTACCCAAAGCGTGAGAGGAGGAAATCCTGCCTCCATGTACACATGCCCACTAGGAAATCTGAAAATCCAGATCATGGGCAAAGAATTTAACCTTATCTAGAAGTAGACCGGATTTAGGGAGCTGAGCAAAATACAAAAGTAAAAGCAGGCAGGGCCTGGTGGCTCACACCTATAATCCCAGCACTTTGAGTGGCTGAGGTGGGCAGATCATCTGAGGTCAGGAATTTGAGACCAGCCTGACCAACATGGTTGAAACCCTGTCTCTACTAGAAATACAAAATTAGCAGGGTGTGGTGGTGCATGCATGTAATCCCAGCTACTTGGGAGGCTGAGACAGGAGAATTGCTTGAACCCGGGAGACAGAGGTTGCAGTGAGTGGAGATTGCGCCATTGCACTCCAGCCTGGGTGACAGAGTGAAACTCCATCTCAGAAAAAAAAAAAAAAAGTAAAAGCAGCAGCAGGAAGAGCCTTGTAGGCACTCCCAATCTCGAGCTGGAGCCCAAGGAAACCATTCATAATTAAATTCTCACAAGACGCTCGGGGAAGGCAGCCATTGGAATTAGGGAGGGGGGTCACAGAATGAAAGAAGTTTCCAACTGAATTTTGTGATAATTTCAACTGGACACAAAGTTCCTTGGCAGAATCTGGGGGGTGAACAGGAACTGCTGCAGATATAAGTGTGGAAGCCACTAGCATTGTGGGCAGATGGGAGAGGGTGTGGCCTGAAAGATATGCTTGCTCTGTCAGTGGGAAAGGTAATGGCATGGCACAGGTATGAGTTCTGTGCACAAGCTGCCTGTACCTAAAATTGGTGCTGTTAGTGGGGCACTGCAGGAACAAGACCAGCCTCACCAACTGCATGGGAGTTGGGTGAGGCCTTTTGCTACCAGCTATCCCCCGCTTCCCTGGTGAACTATACTGCACAGCAGAGGCAGCCATAATCCCATATGGAAAATAATCCCAACGGCCTAAGGACCACCTTCCATCCTGAACAGTGGCTATAGCAAGCCCCGTCCAAGGAGAGTCTGAGCCCAGACCTTCCTAACCCTGCCCCCACCTGATAGTATTTCTCTGCCTGCCCTGGTAGCTGAAAACAAAAGACATACATTCTTGGGAGCTTTATGGCCCCACCCATCATTCGAGAAACCCGAGTACTCTTCCTTGCCAATGTAGGGCAAGATTATATCCCCCTTCTACTACTGCTGCTGGTGTTCTTTTAAAAGTGCCACCTCCTGTTAGGAGGCCAACCAATTCAGGCCATTACAGCAACCCCTGACAGAATAACACTGCTCCCAGGAAGGAGAAAACAATAGCTAATATCACTGCCTGCAACATCCTGGCTAACCAGAGGTTCCGAGTCTGCCCATGTGACAACTTAACTGCTAGCATAACCAGCATTTGAGAAAGCCAGCACACTAAACCTATCTAAAACCAAGGATTCTCACAGTCTCCATCACTCCCGTCACCACCACCAGAGCAGATGCTGTTATCAATGACTGGGAGACCTGAAGACTGATCACATCACTGGACTCTTTGCAGACATTCTCCAACACCAACCCAGAGCCTGGTAGCCCTGCTGGGTGGCTAGAACCAGAAGAGCAATAACAATCACTGCAGTCTGGTTCTCAGGAAGCCCCATCCCTAGGGGAAGGGGAAGAGCACTACAGCAAGGGATCACACATGGGAAAAAAGAATCTAGCCTCCTAGAAAAAAAAATAGCAGGCTTTGAGTTTCAGATTTTTTCACTGGTGAGTAGTTTCTCATAGCAGAGACACAATTACAGTGCTGGGTGTAGTAGGAGAAGTCTGCACCTGTACACCAACAGGGAGGCAGCCTCTTTGATCATGAAGAGCCTTGGAGAAAGGATCGTTGGTCCCCCCTCTGCTCTGCCACAGACACAGCTTGGGCTTTCCCCTCAGAAATGCAGCCTGGAGGCACCTGTAGACAACCTTTCTGAAAAAAATTCAAGGTGAGTGCAGCCCCACAGGAAGAGCACACCTTAGATTCAGGCCTGCATGAGAGGCAGAGTCACAATTCCTCTCTATGTGGAACATCAACATTCGTATAGATGAAATGAGATGTCTGTGTGATCTCAATAGCTGAAACTCTAGGACAGGAGTAGAGCTGTTAAGTGAACAGCTTTACTGCTGACCTGGCATGGGGGCTGAGGTAGCTCTCTTTCTTCACCCTGATGAAACCTTAGCTCATCTAATTGAGAGCTCCCCCAGCCACCTTTATCAAGACTGGGATCTCAGCCCAACTTTGGGTGTTACATCTACCCACCTACCTTTGCCACAACCTGTGCCTACCCAGGGATACCTCCCCTATTCATCTGAAGCCTGAATTATCAACTCAGTAAATAAAACACCAGGAAAAAATAAATAAACACACAAAGTGTACACCATAAGGAAACAAGATAAGCTTCAAGGGATCCCTGCCATTCCAACTCCATAAGGAGCCCCTCTGCCCGGCTGCCCAGTCTGGGAAGTGAGGAGCGCCTCTTCCTGGCCGCCATCCCATCTAGGAAGTGAGAAGCGTTTCTGCCCGGCCGCCCATCGTCTGAGATGTGGGGAGCGCCTCTGACCCGCTACCCCGTCTGGGATGTGAGGAGCGCCTCTGCCCGGCCGCGACCCCGTCTGGGAGGTGAGGAGCCCCTCTGCCCAGCAGCCGCCCCGTCTGAGAAGTGAGGAGCCCCTCCGCCCAGCAGCCGCCCCGTCTGAGAAGTGAGGAGCCCTTCTGCCCGGCAGCCGCCCCATCTGGGAAGTGAGGAGCATCTCCGCCTGGCAGCCGCCCCGTCCGGGAGGGAGGCGGGGGGCAGCCCCTGCCCGGCCAGCCACCCCGTCTGGGAGGGAGGTGGGGGGCAGCCCCCACCCAGCCAGCCTCCCCGTCCGGGAGGGAGGTAGGGGGCGCCTCCGCCCGGGGCGCCTCTGCCCAGCCGCCCCTTCTGGGAAGTGAGGAGCCCCTCTGCCCGGCCACCACCCCGTCTGGGAGGTGTACCCAACAGCTCATTGAGAACGGGCCATGATGACGATGGCGGTTTTGTCGAGTAGAAAAGGGGGAAATGTGGGGAAAAGATAGAGAAATCAGACTGTTGCTGTGTCTGTGTAGAAAGAAGTAGACATGGGAGACTCCATTTTGTTCTGTGCTGGGAGGAATTCTTCTGCCTTGGGATGCTGTTGATCTGTGACCTCGCCCCCAGCCCGGTACTCTCTGAAACATGTGCTGTGTCCACTCAGGGTTAGATGGATTAAGGGCGGTGCAAGATGTGCTTTGTTGAACAGATGCTTGAGGGCAGCATGCTCGTTAAGAGTCATCACCACTCCCTAATCTCAAGTACCCAGGGACACAAACACTGCAGAAGGTCGCAGGGTCCTCTGCCTAGGAAAACCAGAGACCTTTGTTCACTTGTTTATCTGCTGACCTTCCCTCCACTATTGTCCTATGACCCTGCCAAATCCCCCTCTGTGAGAAACACCCAAGAATGATCAATAAAAAATAAAAATAAAAAAATAAAAAATAAAAGAGAAAAAAAAAAAGAAACAGTGAAATCACCCACACCCCAAGAATATTACTACTACAACCATCATCAGAGAAAGCCAGTGCACAAAGACTTTCTATAACTAAGGATCTCATTCAGAGTCTTCACCACTACAAGCACCAAGAATTAAAATTAAGCTAAAACAAACATTAAAGTCTGATCCTTAAGAGAGAAGAAAAAAATTAAATGTAAAAAACACTGTCTAATAAAAAATAAATTCAAAAACAATTTTAAGTAATAGTCTGCCCAAATGAGAAGGAATCATAAAAGTCATTCTGGCAACATGACAAAACAGGGCTCTATAACAACCACAAAAATCACACTGGCTCCCCAGCAATAAACGAAAACCAAAAAGAAATCTGGATTGCCAAATAAAGAATTCAGAAGGTTGATTATTAAGCTAATCATGGAGATACTAGAGAAAGGTGAAAAACAACACAAAAGACATTTTTAAAAATACAGATATGGATGAAAAATTTTTCAGATAAATGGATATCATAAAGAAAAAACAATTACAACTTCTGGAAATAAAAGAGCCATTCAGAGAAATACAAAATGCAGTGGAAAGTTTCAACAATAGACTAGAACAAGTAGAGGAAAGAAATTCAGAGCTCAATGATAAGGATTTTGAATTAACCCAATCAGAGAAAGACAAAGAAAAAAGAATTTAAAAAATTAACAAGCCTCCAAGAAATGTGGGATTATGTTAAACAACCAAACCTAATAATAACTGATGTTCCTGAGGAAAAAGAAAAATCTAAACATTTGAAAAACTTATTTGAGAGAATAATTCAGGAAAACTTCCCTGGCCTTGCTGGAGATATAGACATCCAAATACAAGAAGCTCAAAGAACTCCTGGGAAGTTTACCACAAAAAGATCACCAAGGCACATAATCATCAGGTTATCTAAAGTAAAGATAAATAAAATAATCGTAAGAGTTGTGAGACAAAAGAGTTAGGTAACCTATAAAAGAAAATCTATCAGATAAACAGCTGATTTCTCAGCAGAAACCTTATAAACCAGAAGGGATTGGGGTCCTATCTTTAGCCTCCTTAAACAAAATAATTGCCAGCCAAAATTTTTTTTAACCCAGGAATACTAAGCTGCATAAATGGATAGATAAATCCTTTTCAGACAAACAAATGCGGAGAGAATTTACCACTACCAAACCAGCACTGCAAGAAAAAGGAGTTCTAAACCTTGAAAGAAAACCTCAAAATATGCAAAACAGAATGTCCTTAAAGCACAAATTTCACAGGGCCTATAAAACAATAACACAATTTACAAAAAAAAGATATTTAGGCAATAATTAACATGATGAATAGAACAGTACCACACATCTTAATACAAATGTTGAATTTAAATGGCCTAAATGCTCCAGTTAAAATATACAGAATGGCAAAATGGATAAAAATCTACCAACAAAGTATCTGCTGTCTTCAAGAGACTTAACTAACACATAAAGACTCAAATAAACTTAATGTAAAGGGGTGGAAAATGATATTCCATGCAAATGAAAACCAAAAGCAAGCAGGAGTAGCTATTGTTATATCACATAGACACACAAAAAAATCAGACTTAAAGCAACAACAGTAAAAGAAGACAAAGAAGGACATTATATAATGATAAAAGAATTAGTCCAACAAGAAAATATTACAATGCTAAATATATATGCACCTAACACTCTGAGGTCCCAAAGTTATAAAACAATTACTACTAGACATAAGAAAATAGACAGATGGCAACACAATAATAGTGGGGGACTTCAATACTCCACAGATAGTACTAGACAGATCTTCAAGACAGAAAGTCAACAAGAAACAATGGACCTAAACTATACCCTAGAACAAATGGACTTAAAATGTATTTACAGAACATTCTATGCAACAACTGCAGAATTTACATTCTTTTCATTAGCACACGAACTGTTCTCCAAAACAGACCATATAATTGCTGCAGAATAATTAAGGAATCAGAGAGACCGAGGGGTTGAAGAGGAATTATTTAATTGTTTAGGTGCACCAACCCAGTCAGATTAACATCCAAAGGACTGAGCCCCAAACAAAGAGTCAAGCTACCTTTTAACCATTTCGTGGTTTTAACCATTTCCCATCTGTGCAGGGGGAAGTGTATTACAGAAGTGAGAAACAAAGACAGTTATTCAGTTAAAACATGCATTACATTATTTCTTACATTTTAAGGAACTGCATGTTTTACGACTTGAGATTATCTGTCTAGTGACCTTGCAGCTGCACAGCTAGAGAAACAGAGTCTTCACAATGCCTGGGAAAGAGAGAGATAAGGCTCACTAGCCACAGAGAGAAAAATAGGCAGTTAATTTTAAAGGACTCCAGTCCTTTCTCTCCCTCAAGGGCAACTGGGCTTTTTTACATACAACTAAGTTTTTGCTTACACAGTCTTTAATTTCTTTGAATTTCTGTTTCATAATAGGCCACAAAATGACTCTTAAAAAAATTTAAGGAAATTTAAATAATATCAATTATTCTCTCAGACCACAGTGGAATAAAACTGGAAATTAATTCCAAATGGAACAGTCAAAACTATACAAACATATACACACTGGACACTCTGCTCTTGAATGATCTTTGGGTTAACAATTAAATCAAGATGGAAATTAAAAAAAATCTTTGAACTGAGTGATAATAGTGACACAACTTATCCAAACTTCTGGGATACAGCAAAAGCAGTGCTAAGATAAAAGTTCATAGCATTAAATGCCTACATTAAAAAGTCTGAAAGAGCAAAAATAGACAATCTAATGTCACATCTCAAGGAACTAGAGAAAAATAACAAACAAAACTCAAACCAAGCAGAAACAAATAACAAAGATCAGAGAACTAAATAAAATTGAAACAAAACAATACAACTGATAAATGAAACAAAAAGCTGGTTATTTGAAAAGTTAAGCAAAATTTATAGACCATTAGTGAGATTAACCAAGAAAGGAAGACAGAAGATCCAAAAAAGCTTAATTAGAAACAAAATGGGAGTTATTACAACCAAGACCACAGAAATACAGAAGATTATTCAAGGTTACTACGAACACTTATACACACAGAAACCAGAAAATCTAGAGGAGCTAGATAAATTCCTGGAAATATACAATCCTTGTAGATTAAATCAAGAAGAAATAGAAACTCTGAACAGACCAATAACAAATAGCAAGACTGAAACACTAACTAAAAAAAGTACAAGACGAGATGAATTCACAGCTGAATTATATCAGATATTTAAAGAAGAATTGGTACCAGTGCCACTAAAACAATCTCAAAAAATAGAGAAGGAGGTAACTCTCCATAAATCATTTGATGAAGCCAGTATCATCCTAATATCAAAACCAGGAAAGAATATAACAACAACAAAAACTACAGATCAATATCTCTGATGAACAATCTCTGATGCAAAAATCCTCAACAAAATACTAGCTAACTGAATGCAACAGCATATCAAAAAGATAATATATCATGATCAAGTGGGTTTTATACCAGAGATGCATGGATGGTTTAGCATACACAAATCAATAAATATGATACACCATATAAACAGAATTTTTTAAAAAATGTGATAATCTCAATAGATATAAAAAAAGCATTTGAAAAAATCCAGCATCCCTTTATGATTAAAGCCCCCAGCAAAATAGGCATAGAAGGAACATACCCCAAAATAACAAAAATCATCTGTGACAAACCCACAGCCAACATCATGATGTGTGGGAAAAAGTTGAAAGCATTCCCCCAGAGAACTGAAACAAGAAAAGTATATCCACTTTTACCACTTCTATTCAACATAGTACTGGAAGCAGTAGCCAGAGCAATCAGACAAGAGAAAGAAATAAAGGGTATCCAAATTGATAAAGAGGAAGTCAAACTGTAAATGTTCCCTGATAATCTGATTTTATACCTAGAAAACCCTGAAGACTCATCCAAAAATCTCCTAGATCTGATAAATAAATTTAGTAAAGCTTCAGGATACAATATCAATGTATACAATTCAGTAGCACTGCTGTACACAAACAACTACCAAGCTGAAAATCAAATCAAAAACTCAATTCCTTTTACAACACCTGAAAAAATAAATAAAATGCTTAGGAATATAGTTAAGCAAGGATGTAAAAAATTTCTATGAGGAGAACTACAAAACACTCCTGAAAAAGATCATAGATGACACAAACAAATGGAAACACATCCCATGCTCATGGATAGGTAGAATCAGTATTGTGAAAATGACTGTATTGCCAAAAGCAAATTACAGATTCAATATAATTCCCATAAAAATACCATCATTATTCTTCACAGAAACGGAAAAAAATTCTAAAATTTATATGGAACATAAAAATAGCCCACGTAGACAAAGCAATACTAAGCTAAAAGAACAAATTTGGAGGCATAACTTTACCTGACTTAAAACCATACTACAAGGCTATATTTACAAAACAGCATGACACTGGTATAAAAATATTCACATAGACCAGTGTGGAACATAATAGAAAACCCAGAAATAATGCCAAATACTGACAGCCAACTGATCTTTAACAAAGCAAACAAACGCATAAAATAGAGAAAGGACACCTATTCAACAAATGGTGCTGGGGTTATTGGCAAGCCACATGTACAAGAATGAAAAGATGGATCCTCATCTCTCACTGTATAGAAAAATCAACTCAAGAAGGATTAAAGACTTAAATCTAATACCAGAAACCATAAAAATTATAGAAGATAACATCAGAAAATCTCTTCTAGACATTGGCTTAGGAAAAGAATTCATGACCAAGAACCTGAAAGCAAATGCAACAAAAACAAAAATAAATGAATAGGACCTAATTAAACTAAAAAGCATCTGTACAGGCAAAAGAAATAATTGGTAGAGTAAACAGAAAACCCACAGAGTGGGAGAAAATATTCACAAACTATGCATCCAACAAAGGACTAATATCTAGAACCTATAAAGAACTCAAACGAATCAGTAATAAAACAAATCATCTCATTAAAAGCGGTCAAAGGACACATGAATACACAATTCTCAAAAGAGGATATACAAATGGCTAACATACATAAAAAATGCTCAACATCAGTAATTATCAGAAAACTGCTAATTAAAACCACAACGAGATATTGCCTTACTCCTGCAAGAATGGTCATAATTAAATAAATAAAAAATAATAGATGTTGACATGGATGCAGTGAAAGGGGAACACTTTTACACTGCAGGTGGGAAGCTAAACTAGTACAACCACTATGGAAAACAGTATGCAGATTCCTTAAAGGACTAAAAGTAGAAATACCATTCAATCCAGCAATCACACTACTGGGTATCTACCCAAAGGAAAACAAGTCATTATATGAAAAAGACACTTGCACATGCATGTTTACAGTAGCACAATTCACAATTGCAAAAATGTGTAACCAACCTAAATGCCCATTAACCAACGAGTAGATGAAGAAAATGTGGTATATATACACCATGGAATACTACTCAATCATAAAAAGGAATAAAATAATGGCATTTCCTGCAACCTCGATGGAGTTGGAGACCATTATTCTAAGTGAAGTAACTCAGGAAAGGAAAACCCCAAATATCGTATGTTCTCCCTTAGAAGTGGGAATTAAGCTATAAAGATGCAAAGGCATAGAAATGATATAATGGACTCTGAGGACTCAGGGTGAAGGGTGGGGTTAGGGTGAGGGATAAAAGACTACACATTGGGTACAGTGTACACTGCTCGGGTAATGAGTGCACCAAAATCACAGAAATCACCACTAAAGAATTGAACCATGTAACCAGAAACTACTTGCTCCCTAAAAACTACTGAAATAAAACACAATTTCAATAAATAAATAAATAGAAACCAAGGAGACATAACACAGTAAAGACAAAATAATATCTCAGTAGCTGACCTGCAAAGAGATGAAGACATATGAACTGCATGAAAAATAATTTAAAATAATTTTGTTATAAGAAAAAAATGGTGAAATTTCAGATAACACAGAGAAACAATTCAAGAAAACCAGGGTAACAAAAATTTAGTAGATTTAAATTATTTACGAATCAAAGGAAATTCTGTAGCTTAAGAATATAATAAATAAAATAAAAAATTCAATAGTCACCATCGATAGCAGAATTGATCAACCAGAAGTGAGAATCTGTGAACTGAAAGACAGGTTATTTGACAATATATAGTCAGAAGAGATAAAAAAGAAGAAATCCTATGGAATTTATGGGACATCATCAAAAGAAAAAATAATTATTTTATGGAATTTTAAGAAAGAGAAGAGAGAGATAAATGGGTAAAAAGCATATTATAAGAAATAATGGCAGAAACTTTCCAAATCTAGAGAATAATATAAATATCCAAATACATCAAGGAGGTCAAAAGTCTCCAGAAACATTTAATCTAAGCAAGAGAACACCAAGACATGTTATCCAAACGGTGAAAACCAAGGACAATGAGAGGGTCCTGAAAGCAGCAGAAGTAAAGAAGCAAATTACATATAGGGGATGAGAATATTTGAGAGTTACTCTCATCAATATTGAAATGTGCGGTACTCAATTATTAGCTATATTCAACCTCTTGTACAGTAGATCTCAAAGAAATCAAGTTCATTCCTCTTATATAATGGGGAGGCTTTGTATACTTTATTATCTCCTCATTGCCCCCTCACACACATTCTACTCTCTACTTCTATAAATTCAATTGTTTTAAATTCCACATGTAAGTGAGAATATGTGGTATTTGTTGTCCTGTGTTTGGATTATTTTACTTAGTATAATCTTCTCCAATTCCATCCATGTTGTTACAAGTGATTGAATTTCTTCCTTTTGTGAGGTTGAATAGTATCCCATTGTGTATGTATATAACATTTTCTTTTATCCATTCATCCATCGTAGGGCAGGATTTTCTTCTTTTTTAAGGCTGGATAATATTCCACTGTGTGTATATACCAATTTTTGTTATTTCTTCATCCACTGCTGAACACTTACATTCATTCTATATCTTGGCTACTATTGTGAATAATGCTGCCAAAATGAGAGTGCAGATATTTCTTCAACATACTGATTTCAAATCCTTTGGATACGGACTAAGTAGTTGAATGGAACCCTTGTACACTGTTGGTGGAAATGTAAATTAATATGGCCACTATGAAGAATAGTTTGGGGGTTCCTCAAGAAACTTAAAAATGAGCTACCATATGATCTAGCAATCCCACTTCTGGATATTACCCCAAAGAATGGAAATTAGTATATCAAAGAGATATCCTCACACCTATGTTTGTTGTGTTTGGAAGAGATAAAATTTGGAAGCAACCTAAGTGTCCATCACCAGATGAATGGGTAAAGAAAATGTGGAACGTATACATAATGGAGTACTATTCAGCTATATTTAAAAAATGAGGTCTGGTTATTTGCAACAACATGGATGGAATTGGAGATTATTATGTTGAGTGAAATAAGCCAGGCACAGAAAGACAAATCAATCAAAATCAAATCAATTTAACTCATGTACATAGTGAGTAGATGGATGGCTACCAGAGGCTGGTAAGGGTAGTGGGGGGTTAGGGGCGAGGTGGGATTGGTTTATGGGCACAAAAAGAATACAAAGAATGAATAAGATGTACTATTTGATATCACAAAAGGGTGACTATAATCATTAATATTTTAATTGTGTATTTTAAAATAACTTTAAAAATTCTCAGGGGAACCAGTCCCCAATATTTCAACATAGGTTCTTTTCTACGTACATTCTCTGCTTACGAAGATAATGGGATTAAGAGATTAAAGTAAAGACAGACATAAGAAATTATAAGAGTATTATTAGGGAAGTGATAAATGTCCATGAAATCTTCACAATTTATGTTCTTCTGCCGCAGCTCCAGCCCATCCCTCCATTCGGGGTCCCTGACTTTCCGCAACAAAAAATGAAATTGGATTGTTTATAATTCAAAGGACAAATGCTTGTGGGGATGGATATACCATTATCTATGATGTGCTTATTTCACATTGCATGCGTGTATCAAAACAACTCATGTACCTTATAAATATACATGTATTATGTACCCCAAAAAATTATTTTAATTTTTTTAACAAATAAAAAAGCCTCTGATGCATTCTTCAGTCTGCCAATTAAATTGTTCAGATCTAGAATTTCTGCTTGATTCTTTTAATTATTTCCATCTCTTTTTTAAACTTATCTGATAGAATTCTGAATTCTTTTACTATGTTATCTTCAATTTCTTTGGGTTTCCTCAATACAGCTATTTTGAATTCTCTGTCTGAAAGGTCACATATCTCTGTTTCTCCAGGATTAGCCCCTGGTGCCTTATTTATATCATTTTGTGAGGTCATGTTTTCCTGGATGGTGTTGGTGCTTTAGTGTCTGGGCATTAAAAAGTTAGATATTTATTGTAGTCTTCACTGTCTAAGCCTTGTTTATAACTGTCCTTATTGTAAAGGCTTTCCAGATATTTGAAAATACTTAGGTGTTGTGATCCAAGCTGTAACTGCTTTAGGGTGAGTAATGCTGTAGTTCTTGCAGATTTGTAGAGGTACCACCTTTGTGGTCTCGAACAAGATCAGAGAGAATTATATGGACTACCAGGCAGAGACTCATGTTCTTTGCCTTATTTTATCCCACAGAGTCTCTCTCTTTTCTGGACCCCTGAAAGCTGGGGTCCACAAGCACCTCTGTGGCCACCATCACTATGACTGTGCTGGGTCAGACCTGAAGAAAGCACAGTGCTGAGTCTTGCCCAAGGTCTGCTGTAACCACTCCCTGGCTACTGCTTATGTTTCCAAGGCCCTGAGGATCTACAAGCAACAAGTGGCAACACCAGCCAGGTCTGTTTCTTTCACTTCGTGGCAGCAGGTTCTCTCAGACCCCATTCAGTCCAGAGGTACCATCCAGTAGTAAGCCACTAGAGTCAAACAACTTAGAAAGCTACCTGGTGTTCTATTGTACTGCAGCTGAGGTGGCAAAGACACCACAGGATGCGGTTTTTCCTTCTCTTCCCTCCCCTTTTCAAAAGCAGAGGAGCCTCACCACATAGCCACTGCCATCTGAGTCCATGAATACTACTGCTAGACTACCATTGATGTTCCCTTAAGGCTCATGGCCTCTTATTTCAGCTTGTGGTGAATGCTGCCTGGCCTGGGACTCACTCTTTAGGGCAATGGTATCCCCTCAAGCCCAGGGTAGGTGCAGAAATAATGTCAAAGAGTCAAGTCCTGGAATCAGGTACTGCAAGTACCCACTTGGTGCTCTTCCCCCCTGTGGCTGTGTTGGTACCTAAGATGCAAGATAAATTCCACTTCACTTTTCCATCTGTTTTTCTCAAGCAGGAGTTTTGCCCCATAACCACCACAGCTGCTAATGTGCTGAGTCTCATCTGAAGCGAGTACATCTCAAAGACTCATGCAAGCCCATCGATGTAGTACCTGGGTGTCGCTGTTTGTTATTTAGGGCCCAAGGGCTCTGCAGTTAGCAAGTGACGAATGATGCCAGGACTGGGCAACTTTCCTTCAAAGCAGCAGGTCCCCTTATGGCCCAGTGTGTGTCTAGAAATGTCACCAGAAAGGTAGAGCCTGGAAAAGGGATCTTATGATTCTGAATAGTACCTTATCCTATTGTGGCTGAGCTGGTATCCAGGATGGAAGACATAGTCTTCCCTCCTCTTCCCTCTTCTCTGCTTAGGCTGAAGGAAGGGGCCTCTTTTGGAACCATGAGCTGTGCAGTCTGGGTTTAGGAGAGGGGTAATGCCAGTACTCCCTTAGTTGTCCCAGCTAGTGTCTCGGTAGGTCTCATGCTTCCTCCAGGCCACTCTCTCTGGGCCCAGTTCACTGTTGGGAGTCACCTAAGACTTGAAATCCTTATGGCCTACAATGCCTTTCAAGTTTACTTAGAGACCGAGAGCACTTCAGCCTTTGGTGGCAAGGTTTGCAGGAACTCAAGTTCCGATCACTTGGATTAGGGTTCCCCTCTGGCTAAGGCTGGTTTAAATGCTCTCTCTGTGGGCAGATATCAGCTGAGTTTGTCCTGGTTTTTCTTTCTGCTCTGACAGGACAGCACTGAGTTCATTACCTCAAAAATTGCTGTGCTCTCTTTTCCCCAGCACCCAGAGACTCTCTGCACCATGCCACCTCTGCAGGGGGTGGGGAAGTGGTGGCGATTGCAATTCAAGACTGTTTTTTGTACCTCTTTAGTGCATCTTTCAGTGATATGAAGTTAACACCCGGTACTATGAGTGCTTACCTGATTTTTGGTTCTTATGAAGGTGTTTTTCTGTGTAGATAGTTTTTAAACTGATGCCCTTGCAGAGGAAACCATCTTTAGAGCCTTCTATTCCACCATCTTGCTCCACCTCCTCTTCTTCTCTTTTTATTTTAGCTAGTCTAACTAAATATTTGTCAATTTCATTCATATGGTCAAACGCCAGCTCTTCGTTGCATCAATTTTTATATTGTTTTCTTATCCTCTATTTCATTTGTTTCCTCTCTAATCTTTATTATTTCCTTCAATCTGCCATCGTTGAGCTTAATTTGTGGTTCTTTTCTAGCTCTTTGAAGTGTACTATTAGGTTGCTTATTTGAGAACACTTTTATTTTTTAATGTAGTCATTTATTAATATAACTTCACTCTTAGTAATGCTTTTGTTGTACCCCACACATGCTGGTATGGCACATTTTAATTTTTATTTGTATTGAGAAATTTTCTGATTTTCCTTTTGCTTTCCTCTTTGACCTGATAGTTGTTCAAGAGTATGTTGCTTAATTTCCATGTATTTGAGTCTTTTCTTGATTTCCTTTTGTTATCAATTTCTTCTCTTCTTCCATTGTGGTTAGAAAAGATACATGGAATGATTTCAGTTTTCTTAAATTTGTTAAGACTTCTTTTGTAACCTAGCATGTTACCTATTGCAGAGAATACTTTATGTGCATGTGAAAAGAATGAAAATTCTACTCCTGTTGGATGGAATGTTTTATAAATGTCTTTTAGATCCACTTGGTCTATAGTGTTGTTTAAGTCTTCTGTTTCCTAATTAATTTCCTTTGTGAATGGTTATCCATTATTAAAAGTTGAACATTGAAGCCTCCTACTGTTATTGTATTATACCCTTTTATTCCCTTGAGATCTGTCAATGTTTGCTTTATGTATGTAGGTGCTTTGATCTGGGGTTCATATATATTTACGATTTTGTATCTTACCATTGTATTGACCTTTTATCATTATGTGATGACTTTGCCTATTGTAACGGTTTTTTATATAAATTGTTTTACTTGATACAAATATATCACCTCTGCTCTTATTTGGTTACTATCTTCATGAAATGTCTTTCCATTCTTTCACTTTCAACCTATGTGTGTCCTTGAGTCTAAGGTGAGTCTCTTGTATACAGCACATAATTTGGTATTGTTTTTATCCATCCAGCCACTCGATATGTTTTGACTGGTTTAATACATTCACATTTAATAAAATTATCAATAGATAAGGACTTATTATTGCCATATTCTTAATCATTTTCTGGCTATTTTGTAGTTTTCTCATTCCTCCCTATTCTCTTGCTGTCTTTCTCTGAAGTCTATGATTTTTTATGGTGATATGGTTAATATTTTTCTATTTATCTTTTATTTATCTACTATAAGTTTTAATTGTGCTTACCATGAGACTTGCATTGAAATTATTATTTTTATAACCATTCATTATAAGCCGATAACCATTTCAATCAAGTTAAAAAACTCTACAGCTGGGCTGGGCAAGGTGGCTCACGCCTGTAATCCCAGCACTTTGGGAGGCCAAGGCAGGCGGATCACCTGAGGTCAGGAGTTCAAGACCAGCCTGACCAACATGGAGAAACCCCATCTCTACTAAAAATACAAAAAATAAATTAGCCAGGCGTGGTGGCGCACGCCTGTAATCCCAGCTACTCGGAAGGCTGAGGTAGGAGAATTGCTTGAACCCGGGAGGCGGAGGTTGCGGCGGGCGGAGGTTGCGGCGAGCCGAGGTTGCGCCATTGCACTCCAGCCTGGGCAACAAAAGCAAAACTCTGTCTTAAAAAAAAAAAAAAAAAACTCTACAGTTTTACTTCTTCCCCCACACACTATTGCTATCAGAGGTTATTTGGGTTTTGTTTGTTTGTTTTTTGTTTTTTGTTTTTTTTTTTGAGACGGAGTCTCGTTCTGTCGCCCAGGCTGGAGTGCAGTGGCACAATCTCGGCTCACTGCAAGCTCCGCCTCCCAGGTTCACGCCATTCTCCTGCCTCAGCCTCCAGAATAGTTGGGACTACAGGTGCCCGCCACCAAGCTCAGCTAATTTTTTTGTATTTTTAGTAGAGACGGGGTTTCACTGTGTTAGCCAGGATGGTCTCGATCTCCTGACCTCATGATCCACCTGCCTTGGCCTCCCAAAGTGCTGGGATTACAGGCGTGAGCCACCGCGCCCGGCCAATTTGTTTTTATATTGTGTGCTCATTAACAAGTTTTTGTGGTTGTAATTTTCTAAGTACTTTAAGAAATACTTTTATACCAGGGTTAAAAGTGATTTCTCTGTCGCCATTACAGTTTGTTTAAACATTTCTTTTCATCAGTGAGATTTGTAGTTTCATATGCTTTTGTGTTGTTTAGCATTTACTCAACTGAGCTTCATGGTAAGGCGGGGCTGCTGGCTAAGCTCTCTGGTAGGATGAGGCTGTTTTCTGGGGTCTGTGGTTGGGATAGGATGCTGGCTAAACTCCTGGGTTGGGAAGGCCTCTGGGTAGGCTTTCTGGTTGGCTAGAGCTGCTGGTTGGGCTCCACAGTCAGGCACTGCCAGCTATAAGGACTCCAAAGTTGGGACAGGTTAATGGTGAGGGCTCTGTTTGGGCAACATAGCTGTCAGGGGGTGCAGAGCTACCACTGGAATCTGTGTGCTGGTCACTGAGAGCTCCATCTCTTTTCTTTGTTCTTAGCTGTCCCCAATGGTCTAGCAGTGCCAATTTCCCCTGTGTTCTGCCTGAAGCAAAACAAAACTCGATCTCTTACACTTAAGCACCCCAAATTGTTGAAGTGAAACATCTACCTTTATCTCTCTTTCCCGCACTGGAGAACTCATGGGTCACAGGGGTCCTTCTCCCCATGGTGCTATACCAGCTTAAGGGAGAAGCAATGTGAACAAAGTGAAACCGTTTATTTTAACCCTTTTAATGAAGTTTTCTCATTTTGTTGTGCTTTATTAGGACGCTGCAGCCTCACCTCTGTGCTTAAGAATTTACACAAAGGCATTTTCACCTGTGAATATTTGCTAAATTGATGTTTCTGTGAAGGGACAAGGACTGAGGACTTCTTTTCCACTATCTTGCTGACATCACTCCTCTACTAATCTTATTTCTTGTTTTCCCTAACTCATTCCACAACCTAGCTTATATTACTCATTTCTCTATGAACACAATTTATTTGGTTTTGTGAATTTGCATATATAACACATTCTGCCTAACACCTCTGTTTTTAATATTTCTCAAAATTGGATGAAACATTCATGTAATTTACCCATACAAAACCTTACCTCATGGATCTGTTTCATTTTGATTAATTTCTTAACCTGAATCTTCAAAGAAACTTTATTCTAAATTTCTATATTAATTTAAAATAATTATAATCTTTTCTACAGACAGTGTCTCCTAAATTATTTTGTGATTGTGGTGTCTGATTTGAAGGCTGGGACCATGTATTTCTACTGGGATACGTGGAATATGTAAGTAGAGTTTCTTAAGTGTTAACTAGAAATATTTTGAATGATGTCAGTTGCAGAAAATATTCATAAAATCAATTGTCTGTTAATTAGGTTTAGTCATAAAAATAGAACTCTCAAGAGAATTATATTATTAGCTGAAATGATGATTGCATTATGGAACTGAAGTTAGTGAGTTGACTGAGAATGTTTCCAAGGCCAAAATTTGCATGGTTTGTAGGTTGTCTCACTGCTGTCAGTGAGCTGCGGTGTATATATGGGTATTTAAGATGCCACACACATAGGGCAGGGTCACCATTTAATACAAAGTAGCTCAAAGATAAATCAACTATTATATGCTAAGTAGTTACCACCACGTTTAAGGAACTTTATACCCTGTGTCATGTAGGAAATAAATCATATCAATGTCACTTTCGACTTACGTGAAATTATGAGAAATATATATTTGAACAGGAAACCAGCAATGAAAGAGATAACAAATGTTCTAAGTAGAACCTTAACTAATTCGCATCTTTGAAAATCGGATAAAATCTATGAACTATCCTATAATAAGAATGTAAACATTTTAGAGGATCCAAGAACCTTCTGAAACCCATGCATAAACCCTGTAGGTATTAAGAATTTCTGATATAAGAAGAAGGAATACTCATTAAATATGGAGCATGTAAGATCTGAGATAAGCATTAAAAGATAAGTAGGATTTGAATAATCAGAGGAAAAGTGGTGATTATTCAAATCATAGAGAATGATGTGAACAAAGGAAAAGAGGGAATAATAAGCAATGTTTTGTTCAACAATTTGGCTGAAATAGATGGTCTCGTTTGGAAAATTGTAAGCAATATGGGTGGCTAACTAAAGCTAGAGTATAGATGGCCTTATATATCAGAAAGTGAAATGACCAAAGAAGTCTTCACCTCTATCCATACAGAACTTGCCCAAGGACTTTCCCCATCAATTTTACGAGTACTACTTCGTCCCTAATTTTTCACTATCATGTCAAATATGTACCTAATGCCATAAACTTTAGGAACTAGAGAAGAACAATTCCAATTAGGTTCAGTTTTCTTATCTATTACAAAAAAGTTTATGGCCCACATTTTCAGCTTAAATTAAGTTTAGCTCCTGAAGATCAGGACCTGAAGCATTAGGCTTCTTCCTATGATGTGTTACAAAAGATATGTGAAATGATACGCCCATTCACAGGGATGACTCTCAGAAGCAAAGCAAATTGCCCACAGTTTATACTCATATCAGAATTTATCTTTTGATTTACAATGTTTTGGGTTGATAATAGTCACATTTTATTGTGTATGCAAATGAACAGGTTGTTCTCTGAGAGAAATGATAGCTATAAATATGCTGAATCACTATAATATCCAAAAATTATAGTAATATCTGTTACATGATGTCAAATAATTATAATAGCAATAAATTACTGTGTTAACGGAGAGGAGAGGTTGGAGGGGAAACTTAGCTAATCTAGGAAATCACTTTGATTTTGTTTTGGAATACAGTCAGACATGAAGGCATGTGGGATTAAGCATTTTCCCAGATTGTCTCATTTCACCCCAGCCCCAAACACATGTGATAGAAGTGAGATGATTTGAGGACTTAGATGACATAGTTTTTTGAGCTATTTCCACTGCTTTTTCAACAATAGCCTTCCTCCTTTGATTCTCTCACTGCCACCCCAGCCTCAGGCTTTCAAAGCCCTCATGCAGCATCAAGACCACACTGCAGCACCCCTTTTTTCAAGACCTCTATCTCTGCAACAGACCTTGCAACTCTATCTGCCTCCTGGCTAGCATTTGTATATCTTATAGACACCCCAAACGTAACTTATTTCTTCACCAAACTCTTTCTTCCCCATGACCCAATCTTGGTTGGCGAAAGCAGCAAGTTAAACAAGACAGAATTCTGTAAGGTTAGAAATCTTGTTCCTCATATCTCATATAAATTAAAAGTCTTAATGATGCTAATGTGTCAGATATTTTTGCTTACCTTTCTATTTATGCCACCACTACCTTAGTTCAGGCCCATGTCACCTTAAAATGGAGAAGTGTTTTCCTGCTATCTTTATCAAGTAAAACCCTTCTTGTATCTCAAGGCTCAGTTCAAATGCTCAATTTTCCAAAAAATATTACTCTATTTCTATTTTTTATTAATAGTCATTCCTTTGTAAGACTTTACAAATCATACATATCACATTCTGTCTTGTATTCTACTTGGACTGCATCTCTATATTTAAATTACACTATATTATAGGATCCACAAGGGAGACAAGGACCAGCTTCTAAACACATTTTTGGTGAAATTCATTACATTTTACTTGTGTCACATATATAATTTTATAATCTCGTGCTGTAGTAATTTGTATATGTGATCTGTCCACAGTCATTTTTTAAAAGAACAATTTTGCTAAGATGAGGTTGAAAGGAGATAATGAATCTCATGCTAAGAAATATAGATTGTATGACAAAGGCAATGGAAAATCATGACAAATTTTGAAGAAAGACAGTGGCATGATTTACATGTGTTTTAGAAAGATAGATCTGATGGCAGGACGAAAGATGCAATAAAGTAGTAAACTTTGAAAACCAGGGATTAGTCGGGAGACTCATATAGTAGTCTAGTCTGGGGATTCAGGATAAATAGAGAAAAGAGAACAGGATGCTACAGTTTTTCAAACTTTGGGGGGAATGATAACATGCTAAAGAAAATAGAGTTATTCAATTTAGATTAAATTTGTTTACGTGTGTTTGTGCTATGAAAACATACATTTAATTTAGATTAGTTGATCATAGTTATATTTAGTAAGGATCATCAGATGTATGAAGGCTACATTCATGCCATATTGCCACTGGGCTATAAAAACAAATAAATGAAGCTAAACTCTAACATGAGGGCTTACGTTAAATTATTCTCTATTATTATTATTGAATTCTAGATTAATTTTGTCAGCCTGTAAGTTCTTTAAAGAATGCTGGTGTATTATTTAAAGTTAAATTTCTCCTAAATTTTGTAGTTTAGATTCAAGCACAGCTTTCTTTGTTAAAATATATGTATCTGTTTGGAAATTTTAGTAATTTGGAAGGCTGTCTGCACGTGCATATGCACACACTGACATGCACACACATCCTCTCAAACATCTGTTACTGATGGCTCTCATTCTATCATTATTTTTCTTTCAATATTCATCCTCTGTCCACATGCAAATACCATTGAGAGTAATAAAGCGAGCTGAGGACAGGTTAATACAGGAAGCAGTGAAGGAAACGTAGAGTCCGAGTATAGTGTATAGGAAGAATGGGAAGATTTAATTTGAGAGTATATGCGTAACATAGAACAACATGAGAGGAAGGGACCCCATATAAATTGATCTTCAAAAGGCAAAGTTCGAGAAGGCATCAAAAATAAGAATTACTTGTGTCAAAACTCTCACTCAAACTAAATTTGGTTAGAACTTCATCTACCTGAAAAGACTGTAATGACCAAAGATCATATGCATATTTGCTACTAACAGAAAAAAAATAAGTCTCCTTCCCTTCTCTGGGGGCTAAGACAAATATTCTGCCACCAAATAGGAAAGAAAGACTCGCATATCAAGAGCATAAACAAGACTTACCATTATTTATGATATAATTTATATTTATTTGTTGTCAATTAAGACCTTATAAATTCTGTAATGAAAAAAATGAGACTTCGGCTACTTATCGGCAGTGAATTTTATAAGCAAGCTCTTTGGGCAGACATGCACGACTACAATTATGGTAGGGTATTCTTTTAGTTAAGACCCTAATAATTCTGGATCTAATTTCCACTGAGAAAATGCACATCACTTTATAGTCAACAATTGAGCTCTACTTAGTGCTACAAAATAATTTTTTTAAAAACTATTTTCAAACTATATTTGAGAAATTATTTACTTTCTGGGGGGTGAATTACAACTTGTAATAATGGTAGAAGTGAAAAGAGCAAACTTCATTGGTGCCAATTCTGTGTATTTCAGAACTAGCATAGAGGAAAAATTAAAATATAAAAAAGTTTACTATCTTATCAAACTATTGAATAGAATTCATTTGTAATGTACTCAGACTATACAAGAAGAAATATGACTCCTATATATTAGGAACTATGTGATCAAAGAATAGTCTTGAAACATTTTACATCAATTCCAACCAGTAAAATATTTTAAACATAGAGCCACAATATGTGTATATATTTCTTTAATACAACTGTGAAAAATACCTATTTAAACATTTAAGAATTACATAAAATGATATAATTATTTTGAATATGTTCATAGTTTTGATGATTCCATACATTTATTAATAAATATGTCAAGGTGTAATATCCACTTAAGGTAAAGTTTATTGTTAGTGATCATTGATATAAATTCATACTTCAAATTATCTTTATAATTTAGAATTTTTGGCTGAATTCCTGTTATATCTGATTGGATAATCATTTTTTCCTTAGCTGTCTAATGTGAATTAGCAAGAACATTTTCTGCTCCATTCTTCTATTATTTGTTTGCCTTTGCATTATTAGTATCATTTTCAATCTGCTGTTTTTTTACATAATACACACACACAAGTACACAGTCAGTTCTCATTATTTGCAGTAGTTAGGTTCTAAAAGTCACTATGAGCACTGAATTTGCAAATGCTAAAGCATAGCTCCTAGGTGAACCTCCTAGGGGGTAGGTTCCAGCAAGCCTCT
Source organism: Homo sapiens (assembly GCF_000001405.40). Lineage (NCBI taxonomy): Eukaryota > Metazoa > Chordata > Mammalia > Primates > Hominidae > Homo > Homo sapiens. The sequence goes on from NC_000023.11 coordinate 87,485,370, forward strand.
GGTCATAATATTTTCATCAACTATTCAATACACAATCCTTATATAGGTATGTTTCTGTTTAAACGTACCTTATTTAATATCTATTGTTGATTTATTAACATTAAATCCATGGCCAACAGCACAATAACTCATGCCTGAAGTAAGCTTATCTAACACATGCATTTTTCTGTAAGGGACACCACAGTCTTCTTGTGCTTAGCAAAACTAGACAGTACTTCTGCACTATGCTTGGAGGCCATTTTAAACAGCAAAATACTAATAAAAAGCACAAAAGTGCAATAGATTTGACAATAAACAAACTGTAAAAAGGCAATCAATTACAGTATGAAAACCAAGACAACAGTGCAGATCATAGCCTTGTTTGACCTCAGCTGGAGATATCGGCTGCCATCAGGAGACTCAATTTTTTTTCCTGCTCTGTGTATGTTTGCAAATGACCTTAAAAGCACTGTGAATATTAGTTTTGGTGTTACAAATACATTATAGCCAGTAGGTAAATATGAAATTCCCTAATGATGGGTATCAACTGTGCATACACACACACATATATAAACACACATATATATGTACACACACATAATGAGTATATACCTACACAAACACTAAGGTACAGTGATGTATATACTACATTTTATATTTTACATGTTGCTGAACAGGTTTTCACCACAAAGGCATTGGGATGCTGTAATATTGTTACAGAGACACCAGAAGTTAAAGTGCCTAGATAATGTTAATTATCTGACCTTACTTGTATGAAATGCAGAAAGTTAAAACAACATTTTCTGGGATAAAATAAATCTGTTTTGTCAAAATAAAAATAAATCTGTTTCTCTATTGACTGTTTAGGTTTATTTTGTATTCGTGTTTACCATTTCTATTAATTTAATGAAATTATCTTTTGTAATATACAACATTACTTGACTTAGTGAATTAGCATGTTTGGAAAGGTCACTGGAATCCAAGAATCTTGCTGTAAATAAATGAATTTTACTGTCCTACACATCCAAGCATTCCATCTTTACATAGCCTTTATGCCACTCAGAATCAATTTTCATTTGCAGTGTTAAATGTAGAGGTGAAAATTGTGTGTTACTACAGTCTCTGGGAGGAAGAAGAAGGCAAGACATGCTGGATGGGAAGGTGGAAACATGCAGTTTTCCTTAAGTTGTAATAATTTTGGAAAAAGCAGCCTGTTTGAGGGAGAATTTGGAACAGACAGACAATGACACATATGAAGACAAGTTGACTCAAGCTTGAGAGACTGTAGTTGAAATTCATCAAGATAGGAAAGGATAGCTCAAAGTGCTGAGGTGGAGAGCAAATAGGTTGACTTGTGGTGAAAGCAGATGCAATTGAGTACCCAGTTCAGATCATAATTTTAAAGTGACAATTTCTCAAGCAGTAAAAGAGCCCACAAAGGCTGGAAATGTTTGATATTTAGGTCATTCTCATGGCTGAATTCTGATTTTGGGATAGTTTTCGAAAAAGCATTTTAATATTGTGCTTATGAAAACGTTGGTTTTGAGGGGAGAAAAGGCTTTTTTGAATCTTTTAGGTTTAGCAAATTTATTACCATGAACTGCAAGTGAATTGTGCCACAATTAAATTCATCTTAATCAAGTTTAACTGAAACTATACTTTCTAGTTGATGTTTGAAAATAAAAATAGATATACAAAGATTACTAATTACTTAGATTAGTGAGGGGTTTAAAATTTGGTATCTGGTAACCAGAAGGTAATGTATATGTGCGTGTGTGTGTGGGGGGGGGTGTGTGTGTATTTCTTATTACAATTTATCATTTTAGAAGTTTAAATATATGGTTCATTGTATTAATTAATCAATCCATTTTCCCGTGTGAAGACTCCTGACGTTTCATATTTCTTATTCAGTCTTACCGAATTTGATTTTGAAGACAATAGAGTAATGCAAGAAAGAGCACAAACTTTGCAGCCACATAGACCTGGTGCTTTGCATCTCCATTCCACCATTTCAATATGTAAGCCCTAGGTAATTTAATTAACTATTGATAATTGGGTTTCTCAACTATGAGAGTGAAGGTAACAATACCTAATTTGAAAGATTATGCCGAATATTAAATAATATATGTAAATTACTTGGTATATGTAATGTAGTGAGAAAGTACCAGTTCTCTTCTTAAAGAATGATCCAGGCCGGGCTCGGTGGCTCAAGCTTGTAATCCCAGCACTTTGGGAGGCCGAGGTGAGTGGATCACCTAAGGTCAGGAGTTCAAGACCAGTCTGGCCAACATGGTGAAACCCCATCTTTATTAAAAATACAAAAATTAGCCGGGGGGGGGGGTGGCGGGTGGCGGGTGCCTGTAATCCCAGCTACTCGGGAGGCTGAGGCAGGAGAATCACTTGAACCTGAGAGGTGGAGGTCACAGTGAGTGGAGATCGCTCCACTGCATTCCAGCCTGGGTGATAGAGCAAGACTCAGTCTCAAAAAAGAAAATAAAAGAAAAAGAAAAAGCAGAGACTGATCCTCCATCCATGGGCTCACCTGGGGGAACTTGGAGCACATGGGGCACAATTTCTGGATCCTTAAAAAGGTAGAAGTAACATGGTATACATAGCCACCAGTCTGAAATATTCCAATCAAAGCTTTAAATAACAATTTTTGAAAACCTCATGCAACTTTCTCAGTAACATTTCATTTTTACTCTCTATCAATACACTATGCTCTCTGGGTCTTCCTAACTCAAGATAAAAGATATTGTTCATTACCTTTCCACTAACACTAGATAATAGATATTTGCAGAAAGAGAAATGTTTCAAATTTGGAATGAAAGAGTAACCTTGGGCATGAATCTTTTATTTTTTTTTGAAGTGTCTGGCATACCCTTCATTTAAGATGTCTATGACTGAAATAACTTTCAAATTGTCTGTGATTGCATTTCTTTTGTTCTCTGAAGCTTGCAAACTGATACTACACATTTAGTCAAATGATCCATTTCCTATATGCAATTTTTCAGAATATTGAGGGCAATGTTGTAAACAGGTGCCACATTTTCATGGGATTTGCCTTATTTGAAATGATTCTTATCATTTTTGTTGTTATTGTATCATTTGTGTTTCTTTTCTCCCCCCTGCCCCTGCACCCCCTGACAGAGTGGAGTCTCGCTCTGTCACCCAGGCTGGAGTGCAGTCGTGCCATCTCTGCTCACCTCTGCCTCCCAGGTTCAAGGGGTTCTCCTGCCTCAGCCTCCTGAGTAGCTGGGATTACAGGCACCCGCCACCATGCCCAGCTAATTTTTGTATTTTTAATAGAGACAGGGTTTCACCGTGTTGGCCAGGTTGGGCTGGAACTCCTGACCTTGTGATCTGCCTGCCTCGGCCTCCCAAAGTGCTGGGATTACAGGTGTGAGGCACCACGCCTGGCCTATGTTTCTTTTCTAAAAGGTCATGTACTATAAAATGCACCTATTTAAAGTGTATGATTTAAAGGTTTTTAGTATATTCTGAGATATATAGAATCATCTCCTCTGGAGATAGTCAATATATGTGGAGCTCACTCTGCATACGCTTAGTAGATAGCATACAATGTTAAAGATCCAACAGTGTTGCTCTAGAATACGAGCACATATAAAAAGTCTGTTTTTGCTAACTCTCTCTTATTTTCTATATATTTTCTGTCTTCATGATATAGAAAGCTGTTTCTTCCTACCATAGCCAGTTTTTCCAGGGATAGTGTTCTATTCTCTGCATTCTTTATCATCTTAATTCTGTAAGCTTTTTTAACACCTTACTTTTACTCCCTCTGTAGCATCTGCCAGACTGCTGGATTGTCAGATTGAACTTTTGTTTTAAGGTCTTTTAACTTCTTGGTTTGCTTTATACATGTTGCCAAATAAAACTTTCCATTAGGCTTTCTTTTGTTTCATATGTTAGTGACTCATATAGTGAAGAAAAATTACCAGCTCAATTTACATTGGGTAATCAAGAGCTGTCTGATCGTAGAAATTTACATCATAGTTAACTTGAATGTGATTCGTACCAGTGACCTAGAGAAGCAACAGGCTCAGGAACCCACCACCAAGTCTCTGAGCTATATATTTACCTATATACTAGCAATGGTTGCAGAATTGTTTCAGATAATTCTACACTTATTTCTGAGCAACCTATTATTTACTATCAAGTCAGTGATTCTAACATTTTGGGGGTTGTCATATCTTTAATTCCCCAGTGTTCTCTGCCTCCTCCTAAGACTTGGTAGACGATATATATGTTATTTTTAGGTGAAAAGAAATGTAAATTCACTTTATTTTGAGAACTTCAAGATATTCCTTGAGAAAAATCAGAAGAAATCTAGGATTGATTCAAATAAAATTGTGTGTGTCTGGGGGTGGGGTGGGGAGAGGGAATACAGTTTGAAATAGTTTTTGCAATTGAAAGTAATGGCAAAAACTGCAATTACTTCTGCACTAACCTAATACCTTTGCAAATGATAGGTACTGAATAGTGGTTTGGAAATATATAATATTTTATATAATATTTATTTTCAAGTTTTTTGCCTTTCTATAAAAGGTACAAATTAGATTAGGTTACGTTATCATTTCCTAGACAAAATAAAAGGTTTTATTTTTTCTTTCATAAAACAGTTTCTCTTTCAACTATACACCATTATACCTGAATGGTGTTTGCTCAGGGTTTGGTGATGCCTCAAAAATAAGTATACACACACATACAATATAAGTACATCTTATTTTTACTATGATAGGGGGAAATGTCAAACTCAATATTGCTCTATTATGGGAAAATTGATTCAAACTTTGCAATGGGAAATAAAATGCAACTAAGGAATAAAGCATGATATAATGAAAACAATGGTGAGAATAATATCTCATTTTTAAATGGCACACTCTCTAGTATAAGACAGTAAACAAAATATGTTCCATCTTTCAACTATTTCCAGGCCAAATAGAGAAATATAAATAAATAGGGAATGATCTGTACAGAACCCTAAATATAGTATTACTTCTGGGAACTTATTGTGAGATAACTAAAATAAAATAGTTATTGTTTGTGCAGATATCCAAAAGGTATTGTTATATTTGTCTATATGTACTAATTGTTTTCCTTGTCTTCATTCAAATGTTAGTATTGCTTTTGTTTTCACAACAATATATATTACTCTGGTATGATAACTTTTTTAGACAGGCTCCAGCTCTTAAATATTTGATGATTTGATACTGGCTTTTTAGAGCCATTTAAAAAAATGTCAGTAATGAAAATGTTTCAGATAATCAAGTGCACTTCTCAGAAACAATTTTTTGAAAACATTGAAAGGATCTAGCTCCAGATAAGTTGGAGTATAGATAATCATGGAAGATACTTTCTAAAAAATATGATGATGATGATGGAGGGAGGATGAGAGTAGCACTGAAACATAACATTGTGGAATATTTTACAAAGAAACCCAATGCTAGAATAAATACTGCTAGTGAAAGTGTCCTGAGTAACATGTGCCTATCTCTCTCCTCCACCCCATTTATGCCAAATAGGAAAAAAAAGTTAGCTCAAGTCAATATTCTCTAATTAATCATAACTCCACTTATGTCAGCACAGTCTCTCAGTACGAAGAGAGATTGTTTTGGAATGATAAAAAGCCCTAAATCTTTTCTTATTATTAATAAAAATATGTATATATCTGTTCATGTCCGCGAGTCTGAAATATTAAAATCAAAGCTAATGGTACCTCAGAAAACGCACTACTCCAGGCCATGTTCTATTACCTCTCCTTAGAAATATAAAATCTAAGTATAGATATGATCTTGTAAATTTAGCCCATGTTTTATGAGGAAAAATATATGAATGTACTTAATATTCTGCCCATGATGCTTGTTCCTATACACCATTAGAAGATATGGAAAGCTAAGACATATTGAGAATTTTACATCAGTAAGAAGATAATGAGTAGCAGGGAAGCATAAATTGTAATAATTAAAGCCATAGCTCTTTTAAGGAAAGCTGGGGTTGAATTTGCATGACAAGCTAATGTTCTCAGTCTATAAAATCGAGTGAAATTTTCCTGGTTGGATATTTTTAAATGTATTGTCAAATCTCTTACCCAGTATTCTGTAATAAAGAGACATTACACAAAATCTGGCGGGGCATTGTGGCTCACGCCTCTAATCCCAGCACTTTGGGAGGCCGAGTTGGGCAGATCACCTGAGGTCAGGAGTTCAAGACTAGCCTGGCCGTGGCAAAACCCTGTCTCTACCAAAAATACAAAAATTAGCTGGATGTGGTGGCGCACGCCTGTAGTCCCAATTGCTCTGGAGGCTGAGACAGGGGAATTTCTTGAATACAGGAGGTGGAGGTTGCAGTGAGCCGAGATTGTGCCACTGCACTGCAGCCTGGGCGAGAGAGTGAGACACGGTCTCCTAAACAAATAAATAAATAAATAAATAAAGAGACATTACACAAAATCCAGACTTTGCCTATCCAAGGATACGTGAATTGAATAAGGCTTATAATGATAGGGCTAATTTCCAACACACATCTTTATATAGGACTCTGTACTACAAACAACAACAACAAAAAAACACATTCTGCAACCTTGTTGTTAGCGAGCCAAGCTTGAATAATTAAACCAATGAAATATTTTAGCCACATGTGTAAAGACTTGTCCTACACCAGTGTAACTTTTACAAAATACTTAAGTTAATAACCTCATATACCCAATATTTGCAAGAAACAAGGTGAAATAATCATATTGTTTCTTTAATTTATGCTGAGAATAGATTATTGAAGCAAAAATTTAAAAAAACTATTACCCATTGAAAGTAGCTGTTTAAAAACTGTGACTTTGTTGCCTTGAATGATGTCAACAAAAGGCAATCTTACATAGTGATATTTCTTTATGTAAATGATCCTTCATATTTTTCCATCCAGCATAACTCATAGCTCTCTACCACATAATTTTTTTTCAAGATTTAAGGTGTTAACTGTTGTGTTTGTGACCTGTGAATCCTGCTTATAAATTTTAAAGTATATTTCATAGTTGGTATCTATGAAATAAAAGATGTATACGGTATTTGTTGTATGTATTTCAAAACCAATTGGTAAAATACATTTATATACATTATGTAGAAATAAAATATTTTGCAAGAAATAAGTGGGTGTAATAATTTCCAGTTATACTTATCATATATTACTATTCTTTACTTGAACCTAAATTTAATTAAAAATAATAATACAAGCTCTTTATGTGATCCAGGAACTCTCAACCTCAGCATTATTGCTATTTGGTGCTAGGGCTGTTGCAGGGACTGCCTTCTGCATTGTAGGAAGTATACCTGGCCTCAAGCTGGTATGACCTTTAAGAAGTGAGAAACTAGGTCACTATGGCTCATGGCAGTGTATTAGAGCTGGTGTTATCATCCCAAGTTACTCATTCAACAAATAATTATGGGTTGTTTACTAACCATGTGACATTTTGATGAATTTTCATGGTACAATGATGAACAAATAAACAAGGTCCCTGTTTGCGTAAAGTGGAGGATAACAGATAATTATAACATTACATAGTAATAGTTTCTGCTGAGTGCTATGAAGAAAAATTACCACGTGTAAAAGGAGTGTAATACTTTCCCCCGTCTGGTGTATGGTGCTATGAACAGTGTCCCTAAAGAAGTGACACTGAAGTAAAGAACTTAAAAATTGGTAAGCATTAGACAGCAGATGGATAGAACTTATTTTTGCCTTTAAAGAATGTATTCCTATTGATAGTATACTTTTCCTGGATCACTTAATATGCATGACCATGCAGTTTTTAATTTAGTGGGAAACTCAATTACTTTTCTTTGCACATTTCATATTATACCTTTGGGAGAAGTTAACTTCTGAAACCAAGGTGAACACAAGCCAATGATCAATTATTTACTCATTAAGCGAACAGGGGCTTTGGGGTTGTTTCTAGGATCATAACTTCTCTAACGTTCATTCAGCAAATAAGTTTTAAGAATGTATTTTTTAAAAATAGAGATGAGGTTTTGCCATGTTGGTCAGGCTGGTCTTGAACACCTGGCCTCAAGCAACCCACCCTCCTAGGCCTCCAAAAGTGCTGGGATCACAGGCATGAGCTACTGCACCCAGCCAAGAATGCATTTTTTTCTTTCTTGGCCACATACTTGGTCAATTAAAAAAATAGAAATTTGATGAAATCTATATAGCCACATTTGGATATAGCCACATTCCTTTAGAAATGATACTTTTAGTGAATTTCTATTGTCTAATTACTTCACTGTTATTGGGAATTAAGTATGGTTTTACCACAGAAGTACAATAAGAGTTGGCAAATATGCTGTTACTGCTATGATACTTGTGCTTACTCAGCATCCATTACTAATGTGTTATTATCATTTCAACACCAATCCCACTTAGAAAACACTAAGTATTTTACCAGACAAATGGCCACAGATCAAAACTATTGAAAAGATTGCCATCTTGTCTGCATATGTCATGACATATATAATATTTTATTATTAAAGTTATACATGCACATTTCAAAATTTCAATCAACATAAAAGGGCATAAAATAATAAGTAAAAGTCCTCTTCCACTTATATACAGAACTATATTATTTTATGGGCACACCTAATTTTATTGTGCTTCACTTTATTGTGCTATATAGTTAGTGTATTTTTTTTATAATTAGAGGGTTTGTGGCAACCTTGCATCAAGCAATATAACAGCACCATTTTTTCAACAGTGTTTCTCACTTCATGTCTCTATCTCACATTTTGATCACTTTCACAATATTTCAAACTTTTTCATTATTATTAGAGCTGTTATGGTGATCTGTAATCAGTGATCTTTGATATTACTGTTGTAATTGTTTGTGGGGAGCACAACCTCACCTATATAAGATGGACAAGTTAATTAATAAATGTATTGGGTGTTCTGACTGTTCCACAGAACAGATATTTCGCTGTCTTTTCCTTTCTCTATTCCCTGAGACATAATTGGGAAATTAAGAAACCTACAGTGGTCTCTAAGTATTCAAGTTACAAGAAGAGTCACACGTCTCTCACTTTAAATCGGAAGCCAAAAGTAATTAAACTTATGAAGAGGGAATGTCAAAACCAAGATAGGCTAAAAGCTAGGCTATTGTGCCAAAGAGCCAAATTGTGAATGAAAATGAAAAGTTCTTAAATGAAATTTAAAGTGCTAATCTGATGAACACATGAATGATAACAAAGTGAAACAGCCTTATTGTTGATCTGGAGAAAGTTTTAGTGGTCTGGACAGATGTTCATACCAGCCACAAGATTCTCTAAGCCACAGCATAATCCAGAACCAGGTTCTAATTCTCTTCAATTCTGTGAAGTCTGGGAGAGGTTAAAAAGCTGCAGAAGATACGTATAAATCTAGCAGAGTTTGGTGCATAAGGTTTAAGAAAATAAGTTGTCTGCACAACATAAAAGTGCAAGATGAAACAGCATGTGCTGATGTAGAAACTGCAGCAACTTATCCAGAATATCTTCCTAAGGTAATTGATAAAGTTGGCTACACTAAACAACTGATTTTCCATGTTGATGCAACACTCTTATTTTGGAAGAAGATGCCAACTAGGACTTTCGTAGCTGGAGAGAAGAAGCCAGTGCCTGGACTGAAAGCTTCAAAAGACATACTGACTCTCTTGTTAGGGGCGAAAGCATTTGGTGATTTGAAGTTGAAGCCAATGCTCATTTATGTTTCTGAAAATCTTAAGGCTCTTAAGAAATGTGCTAATTTACTCTGCTTGTACTCTATGTATGGAACAATGAAGCCTGAATAACAACACATCTATTATATCATGGTTTACTGAATTTTTTAAGCCCATTTTTGAACCCTACTCTTTGGAAACAATATTCCTTTCAAAATATTGCTGCTCATTAATAATGGACCTGGTCAACCAAGAGCTCTGATGGGAAGTACAAGGGGATTAATGTTATTTTCATACCTGCTAACACAACATCCATTCTACAGCCCTTGGTTAAAGGAAGAATTTGAACTTTTGAGTATTATTATTTGAGAAATACATTTTGTAAACTTGTGTCATGGAGGTTTGTTGTACAGATTATTTCATCACGTAGGTATTAAACCTAGTACCTATTAGTTACTCAAACATGCACATGTACCCATGAACTTAAAAGTTGAAAAATACATTTTGTAAGGCTATAGCTGCCACAGATAGTGACTCCTCTGATGGATCTGGGCAAAGTAAATAGAAAGCCTTCTGGAAAGCATTCACCATTCTAGATGCCATTAAGCACATTCATGATTCATGAGAGGAGGTCAAAATATCAACATTAACATGAGTTTGGTGGAAGTTGATTTCAACCCTCATGGATGACTTCAAGATCTCAGTGGAGGAAGTCACTGCAGATGTGGTGCAAATAACAAGAAAACTAGAATTAGAAGAGGAGCCTGAAAATGTGACTGACTTGCGGCAATCTCACGATGAAATTGAATGTAGAAGGAGATGCTTCTTAGTGATGAGCATACAATTTGGTTTTTTGGGATGGAATCTACAGCTGTTGAAGTTGCTGTGAACATTGTTGAAATGACAACAAAGGATTGAGAATATCACGCAAACTTAGTTGATGAAGCAGCAACAGTTTGAGAGGATTTATTCCAATTTTGAAATAAACTTTATTGTGGGTAAAATACTATCAAATATCACATGCTACTGAGAAATCTTTCATGAAAAGAAGAGTCAATCGACGTGGCAAATTTCCTTATTGTCTTATTTTAAGAAAATTGTCACAGCCACCCCAACCTTTAGAACCACTGCTCTGATCATTCAGCCACTATCAACATTGAGGCAAGACTCTCCACAAGCAAAATGATTACAATTCACTGAAGGCTGCAATGATCATCAGCATTTTTAACAATAAAATACTTTTAGTTGAGGTATTTACATTGTTTTAGATATAATGCTACTGCACACTATAGTGTACAGTTTAAACATAACTGTATAAAAATATACTACAGTATAGTGTAAACATAATTTTTATATGCAATGGGAAACCATAAAAAATTGCGTGGCTTGCTTTGTTGGAATATTTACTTTGTTACAGTGATTAAGAACCAGAGGTGTAGTATTTCTGAGGTATGGGTGTACACTAATAAGCAATGAAACTTTTTTTGTGACCAAAAGAACTACAATTACACAAATGATTAGAGGATGAATGTTTGTCTTCCTTCAAAATTATCATGTTGAATCCCCAACTCCAAATGTAATAGTATTATGAAGTGGGTTTTCTGCGTGGTTTTTAGATGAGGTCCTGAGGATAGAGCCCATAATATGTGATTAGTGTCCTTGTAAGGTGATAAAGAAACCAAAGCTGTCTGTCTGTCTCTCTGCCTCTGCCATGTGAAGACATAGCAAGAAGGCAGCCCTCTGCCATCCAGGAAAAGACAGATCACCAAGAACCCGGCTGTGGTGGCACCTCGATTATGGATTTCTCAAACTCCAGAACTGTCAGAAATAAATATCTGTTGTTTAATCCAGTAAGTCTGTGATATTTTGTCATAGCAGCCTAAGAAGAGTACGCCATGAATCTTATAATTTCTTAGATGTATATGAGCAATAGAGTGTTTTGAAAAGTTGTGAGAATCATATTATACTTTATAAAGATTAATGAAAAGCACCATAATCAACTAGTGAGTAGTGCCAAGAATAGATATGAATAATAAAATTTTCTGGGTATTCTTTGACATTTATATACATAAACTCAGTAAAGATTATTTGAATTATGACAAATTTTAAATTACTGGAAAGAGAAATATGGCTTTAGAGAGTAAAGCTTAAGAAAAAAATACATTTCAAAGCTTTAGAAATCTCTATAAACTATGTGATTTTCGTATAGTCACTATCAAAGAAGAAAGTGATCTCATTTTCTAAAAGAATCAACTTTATTCACTACATAAGTCTAATTTTTATAAGCTCCTTGGTGATTCATGAAGAATTTTAGTGATTTTTAAAATGTGATCCTAAAAATAAGATTCAATACTCCTCTGGTAATGTGCCACAATTTTGTTTTCACTTTCTTTTTTTTTCTTGTTTTTCCTCAACTTACCTATAAAACATTTTATATGTTTACATTTTTAATACTTATGATAAGTAATTTTTGAGTTATAAACACAACTGTATTACTTGACCTCTTTTTGTTCAACTTTATTTTAGTTTCAGGGGAAACAAGTGCAGGTTTTTTACATGGGTAAATTGCATGTAACTGAGATTTGGTGTATGAATGATTCTGCCCCACAGGTAGTGAGTATAGTACCCAATAGGTAGTGTTTCAACTCTCCCTGCAAGCACTCCCTTCTCTAGTAGTTCCCGGCATCTACTGTTCCCATCTCTATGTCCATGTGTGTACCCAATATTTCACTGCCACTTATAAGTGAGAATATGTGGTATTTGGTTTTCTAGTCCTGAATTAATAAACTTAGGATAATGGCCTCCAGCTGCAATCATGCAATCATGTTGCTACAAGGGCATAATTTTGTTCCTTTTTATGGCTGTGTAGTATTCCGTTATGTTTATATACCACATGTCTTTATCCAGTTCACCGTTGATGGGAATCCAGGCTGATTTCATGTCTTTGCTATTGTGAATAAAGCTGTGATGAACATACAAGTGCATTTACCTTTTTGGTGGAACAGTTTCTTTTCCTTTGGATATTGATATGGTTTGGCTCTGTGTCCCCACCCAAATTTCATGTCAAATTATAATTCCTATGTGTTGGGGAATGGGCCTCGTGAAAGGTGATTGAATCACGGGGGCAGACTTCCCTCTTGATGTTCTCATGATAGGGTTTTCATGAGATCTGGTTGTTTGAATGTGTGTAAAGCTTCACCCTTCGCTTTCTCTCTCTTGTCACCATGTGAAGAAGTTGCTTGCTTCCCCTTCGCCCTTCTTCCATGATTGTAAGTTTCCTGAGTCCTCTAGCCATGCTTCCCGTACAATCTGCAGAAGTGTGAGTCAATTAAATCTCTTTTCTTCATAAATTACCCAGTCTCAGGTAGTTCTCTATAGCGGTGAAAGAACAGACTAATGCAGGTATATTCCCAATAATGAGATTGCTGGATCAAATGACAGTTCTGTTTTAGCTCTTTGAGGATCTACCACACTGCTTTCCACAATGGTTGAATGAATTTGCACTCCCACCAACAGTGTATAAGCATTCCTTTTTCTCTGCAACCTCACCAGCATCTGTTATTTTTGACTTTTTAATAATAGCCATTCTGACTGGTGTGAAACAGTATCTCATTTTGGTTTTGATTTGCATTTCTCTAATGATTAGTAATGTTGAGCATTTTTTAAATGTATTTGTTTGCAGCATGTATGTTTTCTTTGGAGAAGCATCTGTTCATGCTCTTCACCTATTTTTAATGAGTTTTTTTTTTTTTTGCTTGTTGAATTAAGTTCCTTAGAGATTCTAAATATTACTAATCTGTTGGCTGCATGATTTGCAAATATTTTCTCCCAGTCTGTAGGTTGTCTGTTTTCTTTGTTGATAGTTTCATTTGCTATGCAAAAGCTTTTCAATTTAATTATGTTTAATTTGTCAATTTTTGTTTTAGTTGCAAATGCTTTTGGAGATTTAATCATAAATTATTTACCAAAGCTGATGTCCAGAATTGTATTTCCTAGGTTTTCTTTTAGAATTTTTATAGTTTCAGGACTTACATTTAAGCTTTTAATCCATCTTGAGTTATTTTTTTTTCATATGTTGACCTCTTTCTTATGTTTGCTCTTTTAATTGAAGTAATTTTATAGGAATCAAGTTTATAAAATTCATGATCAGAAATAGGCCAAAACTGGTTAAATGAGAATAAGATTGAGATTAAAGAAAGTTATACTATGTGACTAAGCTTTTGTAAATGTTTACAAGTGAGAATACCTAGTGAAACAAAAGTGCCACTTAAATGAATAACACCAAAGTCTGTTTTATGAGATTATCTTTTTTCTAGCTATTTAAATTCAGTTACTCTTGTCCTAATTCTGTTTGGTATGAGACACCAAATCATTTACCTTCTGTGCCAGTGTTATGGGCTTAATTGTGCCCCTCCACAACAATTTAATATGTTAAAGCCCTGATTCTCCTCGGTACCTCAGAATGTGACTGTATTTGAAGATAGGCCTTTAAAAAGGTGATTAAGTTCCGAATGGTAATGCCTAGGTTTTCTTCTAGGGTTTTTATGGTTTTAGGTCTAACGTTTAAGTCTTTAATCCATCTTGAATTAATTTTGTATAAGGTGTAAGGAAGGGATCCAGTTTCAGCTTTCTACATATGGCTAGCCAGTTTTCCCAGCACCATTTATTAAATAGGGAATCCTTTCCCCATTGCTTGTTTTTCTCAGGTTTGTCAAAGATCAGATAGTTGTAGATATGTGGCGTTATTTCTGAGGGCTCTGTTCTGTTCCATTGATCTATATCTCTGTTTTGGTACCAGTACCATGCTGTTTTGGTTACTGTAGCCTTGTAGTATAGTTTGAAGTCAGGTAATGTGATGCCTCCAGCTTTGTTCTTTTGGCTTAGGATTGACTTGGCGATGCGGGCTCTTTTTTGGTTCCATATGAACTTTAAAGTAGTTTTTTCCAATTCTGTGAAGAAAGTCATTGGTAGCTTGATGGGGATGGCATTGAATCTGTAAATTACCTTGGGCAGTATGGCCATTTTCACGATATTGATTCTTCCTACCCATGAGCACGGAATGTTCTTCCATTTGTTTGTATCCTCTTTTATTTCCTTGAGCAGTGGTTTGTAGTTCTCCTTGAAGAGGTCCTTGACATCCCTTGTAAGTTGGATTCCTAGGTATTTTATTCTCTTTGAAGCAATTGTGAATGGGAGTTCACTCATGATTTGGCTGTCTGTTTGTCCGTTGTTGGTGTATAAGAATGCTTGTGATTTTTGTACATTGATTTTGTATCCTGAGACTTTGCTGAAGTTGCTTATCAGCTTAAGTAGATTTTGGGCTGAGACAATGGGGTTTTCCAGATATACAATCATGTCGTCTGCAAACAGGGACAATTTGACTTCCTCTTTTCCTAATTGAATGCCCTTTATTTCCTTCTCCTGCCTAATTGCCCTGGCCAGAACTTCCAACACTATGTTGAACATGGACTTCATGTCTAAAACACCAAAAGCAATGGCAACAAAAGACAAAATTGACAAATGGAATCTAATTAAACTAAAGAGCTGCTGCACAGCAAAAGAAACTACCATCAGAGTGAACAGGCAACCTACAGAATGGGAGAAAATTTTCACAACCTGCTCATCTGACAAAAGGCTAATATCCAGAATCTACAATGAACTCAAACAAATTTACAAGAAAAAAACAAACAACCCCATCAAAAAGTGGGTGAAGGACATGAACAGACACTTCTCAAAAGAAGACATTTATGCAGCTAAAAAACACATGAAAAATTGCTCACCATCACTGGCCATCAGAGAAATGCAAATCAAAACCACAATGAGATACCATCTCACACCAGTTAGAATGGTGATCATTAAAAAGTCAGGAAACAACAGGTGCTGGAGAGGATGTGGAGAAATAGGAACACTTTTACACTGTTGGTGGGACTGTAAAATAGTTCAACCATTGTGGAAGTCAGTGTGGCGATTCCTCAGGGATCTAGAACTGGAAGTACCATTTGACCCAGGCATCCCATTACTGGGTATATACCCAAAGGACTATAAATCATGCTGCTATAAAGACACATGCACACGTATGTTTATTGCGGCATTATTCACGATAGCAAAGACTTGGAACCAACCCAAATGTCCAACAATGATAGACTGGATTAAGAAAATGTGGCACATATACACCATGGAATACTATGCAGCCATAAAAAATGATGAGTTCATGTCCTTTGTAGGGATATGGGTGAAATTGGAAATCATCATTCTCAGTAAACTATCGCAAGAACAAAAAACCAGACACCGCATATTCTCACTCATAGGTGGGAATTGAACAATGAGATCACAGGGACACAGGAAGGGGAATATCACACTCTGGGGACTGTTGTGGGGTGGGGGGAGAGGGGAGGGATAGCATTGGGAGATATACCTAATGCTAGATGACGAGTTAGTGGGTGCAGCGCACCAGCATTGCACATATATACATATGTAACTAACCTGCACAATGTGCACATGTACCCTAAAACTTAAAGTATAATAATTTTAAAAAAAGGTGATTAAGTTAAAGGAAGCCATTAGGATGGGCTCTAATACAATCTGAATGGTCTTTATTTGCACACAAAGAAAGATACCAGGGAGGCCAGTGCACAGAAAAATGTTAGGAGACAACACAGCAAAAGGGCAGGTATCTGCAAGCCCAGGAGAGATCTGGGGAGAAAACAACCCAGCTGACAACTTTATCTTGGACTTCCAGCATCCAGAACTGTGAGAAAATAAATTATATTGTTTAAGCCACCCAGTCTGTGGTATTTTGTTATGGCAGCCCTAATAAACTGGTATACCTAGTGTTTCTCAGGGAATTCATTTACAGCCCAGCAAACAACTTAGAACATTAGACATCTTTATTCTTAAAATCCCTTGGCCTTTGCCACCACCAGAGATTTTTCATTTCCCATTTCTTTCAGTATTGAGTCGCACCCTATGTTTTTATCTACCTGATCTCGTTTTTCATATCATCTCTTCTCTCCATTTTTCCGGCACCTAATTTCCATTCTCTCAGGCTCTCCCTAGGAATTTAGAACCTTCTTCAATTCACTGTACAAAACAATTAGCTTTCTAATTTCCTATTTTATTTTTTTTTACTCTGTATGAGGTCTGCCTCAGGACTGAAAACCATTTAAGTTGTGCTAGTAAACCAAAAATAAAGGATTTCAGATTACACTCTGTCAAAAAAAAATTCTCATCTCAAAGAGCGTTCAAACAATTATGCAATTATACCTCATGATGAGTGCTATGAAAAAATCTTAAAGCGTAAGAATAGAGAATTAGGTGATTCATTAGAAAACAGGTGGCCTCTTTTCTATGGCATATTTTAGAAGGCTTCTTTGAGGAAGTGATTTTAAGCTGAAACCTGAAGAATATGTAATATTTAGCCAAGTGAAAAATTGGCAATAGAATTTTCCAAGAAGAAGAAATCAAATATTTGAAAACTATAAGGCAAAAAAGAATTTCGTTTATTTAGTGGATTGAAAGCAGGTTGGCTGAAATTCAGTGAGTTAAAGGCTGAGTCAACCAAGGTGATGGTAAAGAGTAGGTGGGCTGTTTTCAAGTGGGAGATCTGAGGGTGCATATTACTTGCCTTTTCTGAAGATTATTAAAATCAATATCAAAATTTCTGTCTTTAATGATATTCCTATGAAAGATAAAAAGATTATTTTGAATGGTTCCTTGCTGTTTGAGTTGCACTATGGATACATTTCTATGTTTGGTTCTGAAATGTATGAGCCACATCACATAGAACTCTGCAGACCATAGTAATTCTTAAAATAATTATCCTAGGTGCAATGAAAAAGCTTTGAAGGATGATGATAAATAACCTCTGATATTTCAGTTATCATTGTTTCTATTTCTTTACCAAGGAATCCTTTGCCTCTGGACAAACTCCAGTCTGTCATGTTCTTAGAAATGTGCCCAAGTGTGGTGCACAGACTAGCACAGACTAGATTCTCTGTTCTTCAAATTCCTATTAATTCACTCAAGATCACATAGGCTAATTTTGCAGTTGCATTCAACTGTGATGCAAAGAACCATAGAAATTTAGAATTGCAAAGAAGTACTGAAATAATTTAATCCAGTCAGCTGTGTTCGGAGATGAGGAAACTGAAACTGAAGGAATGAACGTATAATACAATCCAGAAGTAATTTTAATACTAACTTTTATAAAACATCTCACTATATTTTGTACTTGTTCAATTAGAAGTATATATTAAATGTCTTCTTGATAGATTTGACCATTTTTTTCCAGTGAAATAAGAGAATTTTTCACATTAAACAGGTTAAACAATGTGTTTGACCATCCTCTCAGCTTCAATGCATATGTGTGTGGTCATCATGGCTCCCAATCCAGTCATTCTCAAAAACTATAAAACAAGACAGGACAAAAGAAAGCCCTTGGCCACACTATAAGATAGGTTCTTCTACTGGAACATTGATAGATTAATTATTTGTGTATAGTTATCCAAGCACTTACAAATACTTAGCTGTCTTATTGACTTGCCCATGCATATGATATAAGGCCAAATAGACTAATATTATCACTGTCCTCCACAAGATAGTGCCTTCATTTAAATGTGCTTGCACATGCTATTCTCTTAGCTTGAAGGTAACTTCTTCATCTATTTAGAATTCCTTTGTCCTCCAATGCCCAGTTTTGCCTTTTCCACATAGGTGTACCAGAACACTTCAATCCCCACTGACGTCTTTTTTAAGGGAAGTACATCTCCTTTTCCACTTCTAGACTGCACTGTACTACTCAATACATATTTGCATTCTGTCTTTTGTCTTTCTCTCATTGTTTTGTGTGTGTTCTGTTTCACTATTATCATGACAATGACTTAATGAGGTTTGTGTTTCGAACTATTATCTCACAAGTTTTATATATATATATATGTGTGTGTTTGTGTGTATACATTAATTTATGGTGAGTCAGACCCAAGTAAATATTAAGTGATATAATTTTGAGATTTAAAAACATGGACTCTGGCTGGGTTTAAATTCTGGCTCTTCTACTTACCACTTCTATGAACCACTTGTATAACCTTGTGTGATTATCCTCTCTATAGATTAATTTTTTTCACCTGTAAAAAGAAAACAAAAGAAACACTAACTTCAAAGATTTATTTTAGTTAGATGATATAGTATGTTTATTTTTTATTTTTATTTTTTTTTAATTTATTTTTTTATTATCATACTTTAAGTTTTAAGGTACATGTGCACATTGTGCAGGTTAGTTACATACGTATACATGTGCCATGCTGGTGTGCTGCACCCACTAACTCGTCATCTAGCATTAGGTATATCTCCCAGTGCTATCCCTCCCCCCTCCCCCGACTCCACAACAGTCCCCAGAGTGTGATGTTCCCTTTCCCCATTGTGGAAGTCAGTGTGGCGATTCCTCAGGGATCTAGAACTAGAAATACCATTTGACCCAGCCATCCCATTACTGGGTATATACCCAAAGGACTATAAATCATGCTGCTATAAAGACACATGCACACGTATGTTTATTGCAGCACTATTCACAATAGCAAAGACTTGGAACCAACCCAAATGTCCAACAATGATAGACTGGATTAAGAAAATGTGGCACATATACACGATATAGTATGTTTATTTTAAAGAAATTTTTATATGGTTGAATTTAGACCTATTATTTTTTATCATTTGTTTATTTGTTTTTTCTATTTTTTTCTTCTGTTGCATTCTTCCCTTCTTTGAGATCAATTGAACTTTTTTGAAATTAAATACATCTATTAGCTTTTTAATTAATTATATATTCTTTTCGTTATTTTGTTAGTGGTATCTCTTGGTATTAGAAAATACACCCTTACATTTTTACCACCTAGTTAGTGTTAATATTGTCACTTCTAGTAAATTGTAAGAATCTTGCAACTATCTACATCAATTTACCAATCTCATCATTTATATTTGTCACATGTATTACCACCACACACCTTATAAATCCCACAATAGAATATCATACGTATTTTTGCTTTAACCAGCCATATGTATTTTTAAAATATTAACTTTATATTTAAATTTACATTGACATACACATGTACCATTTCAAGTACACTTCATTCCTTCTTGAAGATTTCATTTCCTATCTGGTACCATTTTCCTTTAGCCTGAAAACATCCTTTGGCATTTATACTAATAGTACAGTTCTATTGGTGATTAATTATCTTTGTTTTTGTTTGTCTGGAAATGTATGTATTTACTCTTCATTCTGATAGGATATTTTCTCTGGATACAGGCTTCTGTGTTGAATTTTTTTTCTCATTCAGTATACAAAATATTCAGTTTTCCATTTATTTCCTAGTATAAACTCACTGGTCAAAATTTCTGTCTCTCTCTCTCTCACACACACGCGCATACACACACACATACACACACACACATCTGTTTTCAGCAATTTAATTACGATATGCCAAATTGTGATTGCCATTGTATGTATTCTGCTTAGGTTTTGCTAAGATTCTTGAATTTGTAATTTTAAGTCTTTCATCAAATTAAAGAATTTTTTGGCTATTTTTTCTTCAAATATTTTTGTTGACCCACTAATTATCATTTATCATTCTGAGATTTAAAATTACACATATATTAGACATTTTCATATTGTCACACAGATCAATGTTGTTTTTTTTTAAATTCTTTTTCTCTCTGTTATTCAGATTGGATAATTTATCAGTCTCTATCTTCAGATTTTCTAACTCTTTCTTCTGTGATCCCTTTCTATTGCTAAGCCCATCCAGGGAATTTTTTTTTATTTCAGATATTGTATTTTTTTCAGCTCTAGACTTTCCATTAGGTTCTTTTTAATGACTTATTTCTCTGCTGATATCTCCCATATTTCTTTTTTTTTTTTTTTTTTTTTTTTGAGACGAAGTCTCGCTCTGTGGCCCAGGCGGGAGTGCAGTGGCGCAATCTCGGCTCACTGCAAGCTCCGCCTCCCGGGTTCACGCCATTCTCCTGCCTCAGCCTCCCGAGTAGCTGGGACTACAAGCGCCCGCCATCACGCCCGGCTAATTTTTTTGTATTTTTAGTAGAGACGGGGTTTCACCGTGTTAGCCAGGATGGTCTCGATCTCCTGACCTCGTGATCCGCCCGCCTCGGCCTCCCAAAGTGCTGGGATTACAAGCGTGAGCCACCGCGCCCGGCCTCTCCCATATTTCTTTACATCTTTGAACATAGTTACAATACTGGCTTTAAAATTCTTATCTGCTAATTCGAATATCTGGTTGGTATATGTCGGGGTTAATACTCATGGGTTGCCTTTTCTCTTAAGTCACATTTTTACATGTCTAGAAATTGAAATTTATCTTGGACATTTTGATTATACATCTGCATAGATTTTGGATTGCGTTATCATTTTTCAAAGAGTATTGATTTTCCCCGTGTGTTTTAGTAGTCAGTTATATTGTTTGAAATCAAGCTTTAAACTGCCTCACTTTCAGTGGTATGCAGCTTAAGTCTTTGTTCAATTCCTTCAGTCATAGCTAAGCTGCTAAAACCAACACCATACATACATAGTTAAGCCAAAACTTTGGGTAGAGTTGAATTCATGTTAAAAATTAATGAAACCATCTTTGTGCCTCTATTGCTGGAATTTTCTAATTTCTTGTGCATCTTATGTGGTTAACCTGAACCCTATTCTCCAATTCTTCAAGACAATAAAACTACAGGCTTATATCCAAGTAGTAGCTGGTTCATGTATATGTAATATGTCCTGTCCTCAAGCTCAAAGCCATCAAAAAAAATCACTCAATGATGTTGCCATTCCCACCTTCCATGTATAAAGTCTTCTCCAGTATTTTCCTGCTTTTTTTCACTCTTCAGTGACTTCAAGTACTTTTTATAATATTTTGTCCAGGGTTTACAGTTATTATCTACAGAAGTATTGGTTCAATAGGAGCTAGTCCACTATTATTAGAAGTAGGATCACCCCATAGACCAAATGATGTAATTCTTGTATAGTGTTTTAGTGCTGTTCATAGAGTCAGATTTCAAAAAATGAACCTATTATTATTAAATGTGAAATAAATCTGGGTACTGCCTGCTTTCTCCAGTAATACTTCTGTCTGCCTAGCCCTTGAGTACAGGTCATGCTTCCAACACGAGAGCTGACAGTCTAACAACATAAAGTACAATATATAACTGATCCAAAATGATGATTTTTCAATAAAACTTAGCAATATTCTCTCAAGATTCTCCTTCATCGCATTTAAGCCAGCTAGTAGAACAATTCAGCAGTATATATATATAATTCAGTTTATAGATACTTTGCAAAAAAAAGATTACTGCAATGTTTAGTTGAGTTGTATTTCCTAAGTGATTTACCTGTTCAAACAAAACTTAATGGTTGTTCTACACAATAGTGATATATCGTGAATTTTGTGAATTAAACATTTTATTTTGTTTATTTGCATGCAGTTGTAATAAATAATACAGAGAGATCTTTCGTATCATTTATCCAGTTTTCTGATACCTTGCAAAACTATAATACATATTGCAACTAAGATGATGGCATGGATGCAGACAAAACACAGAGCAGTTTCTAACCCAATGGAACCCCTATTACATCCAAATACACCCCACTCTTATTCCTAACTTCTGGAAACCACTAATCTGCACTCTCTCTCTCTCTCTCTCTGTGTGTGTGTGTGTGTGTGTGTGTGTGTATGCGTATATATATGTGTGTGTGTATATATGCATATATATATATACACAGAGAGAGAGAGAAAGAGAGAGGGAGAGATGGAGTCCTGCTCTCTGTCACCCAGGCTGAAGTGCAGTGGCATGATCTCATCTCACTGCAACCTCTGCCTCCTGGTTTCAGGCAATTCTCCTGTCTCAGCCTCCTGAGTAGCTGAGATTACAGGTGTGCACCACCACACCAAGCTAATTTTTGTGCTTTTCGTAGAGACAGGTTTTCACCATGTTGTCCAGTCTGGTCTTGAACTCCTGACCTCAAGAGATCCACCCTCCTTGGCCTCCCAAATTGCTGAGGGTTACAGGCATAAGCCACCACGCTCGACCATTTGTATAATTTTGTATTTTTTTTTAAATTTCAACTTTTGGGAGAACATATTCATTAAAATGCATCTCACAAAGACCTATTATCTAGAATCTACAGGGAACTTAAAAAGCAGAAGACAACCCCATTAAAAATGGGTAAAATACATGAATTTTGTCTTTTCAGTAATGCTATATAGAAAGAATCATGTAATATGTAACCTATTGGAAATGTTCTTTTTCTCTCAGCACAATTTCTTTGAGGTTCACCCAAGTTGTTCTGTGTATCAATAGTTCATTATTTTTATTGCTGAGTGATAATACATGGTATGGATATATGACAGTTTGTTTAACCACTCTCCTGTTGAAGTATATCTGTGTTGTTTCTACTTTTTGGCAATTAAAAATAAAGCTGCTAGGAATATTTATGTATAGGTTTTTGTATTAAAATAAGTTTTAATTTATGTGGAAAAAATGCAAAGTTCAGTGCCAGGTAATATGGTGGTCACATATTTAGTTTTATAAGAAACTGTCAGCCAGGCGCGGTGGCTCATGCCTGTAATCCTACCACTTTGGGAGGCCAAGGCGGGCAGATCACTAGGTCAGGAGTTCAAGACGAGCCAGTTCAAGACCAGGCTGGCCACCATGGTGAAACCCTGTCTCTACTAAAAATACAAAAATTAGCTGGGTGTGGTGGTGCATGCCTGTAATCCCAGCTACTCGGAGGGGGCCGAGGCAGGAGAATCGCTTAAACCCAGGAGGCAGAGGTTGCAGTGAGCCGAGATTATACCACTCCACTCCAGCCTGGGTGACAGAGGAAGACTCCATCCTAGGGCAAAAAACAGAAAACAAACAAAAAAACTATCAAACTGGTTTCCAGAATGGCTAATACCATTTTACATTGTCACCAGATATGGGTGATCTGCTTTTACGACATTATCTTCAACACTTTGTGTTGTTACTATTTCTTATTGAAGCCATTTTGATAAGTGTGTAGTCATCTCATTGTGATTGAAATTTGTTTTTGTTCAGTGGCTACTGATGCGGAACATCTTTTCACATGCTTACTTGACATTTTAAAATTAATTTTGGTAAAATGTCTCTTGGTGTCCTTTGTGCATTTTTAATTGGATTGTTTAGTTTAATATTGTTGAGTTCTCTAAATAGTCTAGATCTTAGTCTTTCCTTGGATATGTGGTTTGCAAATATTCTGACTTTAGCTTGTCCTTTCATCCGTTTTATAGATTCTTTTACCCAAGCAAAGTTTTAAATTTTGACCAAGTCCAATTCATCAAATTTTCATTTGATGGATCGTGCTTTTGATGTCAAGTCTAAAAACACTTTGTTTGTAGACTGTTATTAACAAAACCTGTTATTCTATTCTATTTGTTTGTAGACTTTCTGTTATTGTAGACATTCTGTTATTTCTAAGATTTTCTGTTATTTCTAATACTCATTTTTCTGCATTTTATATTTAAGTCTGTGATCCATTCTGAGTTACTGTGTGTATAAAGTGTGAGATTTAAGTCAACGTTCATTTTTCTGGCTATAGATGTACATTTGCTCTGGTACTATTTGTTGAAAGGACTATCTCTTTTCTATTAAACTGCTTTTGCAACTTTGTCAAATATCATTCAAGCATGTACATGTGGGCCTACTTTTGGGTTCTCTATTTTGTTTCATTGATCTATTTATCTCTCTCTATGCTAACATTACACAGTCTTGATTAATCTAGTTATATAAAAGGCCTTACTAATAGGTATCAGGTAGATTTCTCCAACCGTATTCTCATTTTTCAAGATTGTTTTAGGTATTTTAGGGCCTATGCCTTTCCTTATAAATTACAGAAGAAGCTTGTCTATGTATACAAAAATTTTTGCAGGAGTTGATGAGAATTTCATTAAATTTGTGTATCAAATACTTGTGTGTGTATATATATAGATATATTATATATATATATATAACTCCTAAATAAATATATACTTCAAATATGTATATTCTAAATATGAATGTCTTAAATATATATATTAATTATATATAGACACAAATATTTACTAAATATGTACATGTATACACATATATACTCATATGTATCAATTTGTGTTGCTTAATGTTGCTATGCAGCAAATCTTAACATTTTACCCTCATATCTCACTGTGCAGCCTTCTTCTCTTTCTCAGTTTTAACTCTTTCTCAGTGTATGTGTACCACATACACGAGGCTATCATAAAGGATAATACCTTCCATAGTATTCTTTTTGTACACACTCTCTTGTGACTAAACAAATTAGTCTACTTAGTGTTATGATTTTTATATTTAGATTCATGTTGATTTATTTCTAGTTCATTTATTTTTATTTTTGAGTAGTATTTTATTGTAGAATTATATCAAAACCTGTTTTTCTATTCTCATATTGATAAAAATCTGTTTTTTGTTCTGGTTTCATTTTACTACAAACAGTTCTAAAACTAATATTTTGTACATGTCTTCTCATGTGTCTATGTGAGTTTTTCATGGTCTTATATTTAGGAGTGGAAATCTCGACCATTGGGTATATACATCTGCAACTTTATTAGATGTTGCCAAAATTATTTATTGATGTAAACTCCCACTTTCAGTGAGAGTAAATTTCTGCTCCATAACTTTACATCCTAGCCAATATCAATATCTTAAGATACTTTAATTTGTGCCAGCTTGATGAATATAAAATTATATTTGTTAATTTCATTTGCATTATTTCATTATGTGTGATTCTGAGCATGTTTTCACATGTTTATTGGACAATCAGCTTTTCTCTTCTGTGGATTTTCTGTCAACATTCGTTACCCATTTACACATGGTTTGTTGGCTAAATGTAACATATTTTTTGCAAAGAATTTGCAAATAGTGCAAATTTTCTATACCAAAAGCTGTGTGTGAGTGTGTGTGTGTATACAGAGAGAGAGAGAGCAGTTTTGTGAGAATAAAGTTAACACAAAACAAAGTTTGATACAATTTTTTGTAAAACTTTGTTTTCTAATATAAAATTATCTAAGCACTGATTGCAGTTTGAAAAAGCAGGAACAAAAGGTACTTTTCTCATATTTTGGACTGTAAGAGACTAGCATTTTTTTCTCCTTGGACAGTACAAATAGTGTACTTTTCTACATTGCCTTGTTACTTTGTTTTGATCTTTCTGAACTTG
This sequence comes from Homo sapiens, assembly GCF_000001405.40. Taxonomy (NCBI): domain Eukaryota; kingdom Metazoa; phylum Chordata; class Mammalia; order Primates; family Hominidae; genus Homo; species Homo sapiens. The sequence goes on from NC_000023.11 coordinate 87,511,283, forward strand.
CATTCATGCTTATGAGCTTACTTAGAAGCGATAAATATGTCATTTATAGGAACTAGTAACTCTAGGAAGAACACTTTATTCACCTTTTTAGATGAGAGAACTGTAACTGTCTTTAGCTGTTATAACTCATAACCACCCTTCCAATGATCCCACTAGTTAAAATACCATTAGTTAACAATTTACTTAGTATTGAATGTTATGATTTTCTTGGTTTTTTGGAACAATCCATGAGACATAAGCGCATATCCAAAGTACTCTTTCCAACAATAAAATCCTCTTAAATAATAGTTTAACAATAATAAATTGTATTTTTATCCTACTTACTTCTAGATGGCTATACATACCTTATATGTTAAATTGCCTTTCTTCACAACATCTCGAAATCTAGAGGAAAGGCATATTGTTCTGTACTTTTCTATAAAACGAAAACCTGAGGCACAAGATGATTTTTTATAATTTTTCTCACACAAGAAGTCAGTAAGAAAACTGAGAATAAGATCAGTGCAAAGATTTCCCTCTAGAAAACCACGTGGCTTCCAATTTACATTGTTGTTTATTCCAGAAATGTTCATGAAGCCAGATCCCATGATAAACATAGGGCATTCTTTTCAAATAGAATTTTACTTAAAGCATCTCACCTGTAAGCTATAAGTGTTTCATGCAGCTCATCATTTCAAATCCACCCAACTGACTGAACGGACCACTTCCTGGCCAAGGGGACCCCAGAGTAACCTTACGAATTGCATGCTTGCCCATGATGGGATGGGGGGTCAGGCGCATATGTTGAATCAAACTTGCATCTCAGCAATGAAGCCTACTTGATTGTGGTTGATTAGCTTTTTAATGTGCTGATTGATTAGGTTTTCTATAGAAAATGTATTTAGTTATGGTGGCTAACATTAAAAGATATTTTTAACTTCGTGTAATTCAAGCCAGTGACCATGTCTATATTTACAATCAACTTTACACTGCTGAGGGCCAAGATAATTTTTAAAAACTCTTTTTAGGGTAAAATCTTGATCCTTAGAACACTAAAACCAGTTCTGTTTAATTGAAATACAGAGAAAGTTTAACTGAAGGTAATCAGTTTGTGGAATAACTGATATATTTTTTTTCTTGTAAATTGCTACTACAGCATAAAGACAGAGATAAAGGTTTCTTTATAAAGTAAGATCTTGTAGGATGCTAGAGATTTGGAACTAAAATATTAATGAGAGTATGGCTTAAAAGAAAGATTTTAAAATTACCTACACAGAGATTACCACTGAAATTTGGGAGTAAATAAACTTTATATGATAGTTAATAATAAAGAAGTAAAAGCAGTGAGACAAGGCTGAAACCTGAAATCTGGACGTATATATATTTCTAGGTGAAGAGGAGAGAATGATGGATATCAAGGCACAGACAGGAGAAAAAGAGTGCATATTATTAAGAACCAAGAGAAGACTGTTCCAGGAAAGATGAGGTGGTCAAGAGTACAAAAGGTAAGCTCTTGTGGGCAAGAACAGTGTAATCATATTTGCATCGTCAGAGCCCAGCACGTAGTAGGCACTCAATAAGCCTTTGTTGGATGGATTAATGAATGAATGAGTAAAAAAAAAATCAAGGAAATTAAAAATTAGAAGAAAGAATTCTATTCAACTAAGACCACATGTTGGCTACTTTAAAACACTATTTCTTAAAATGTCTGTGGGCCACTTTCAAAGGGTGCCCTAAGTGATTATTGAACAAATGGGTTTCTGGACCCTTCCTTAAAACTGCTAATCAGAATCTGCCCATTTAATAAGTAAAAAATATAAAGTGATAGCTCACTGAACTTTGAGAACAGTTGCACGAGAGTGAATGGTTTCAATATAGAAAAGGGGATAGCCGTCATGTTCCATAGGAAAGAAGGGAGGAATAAATGAGGAAGGTTTGTAAAATGCTACTGCAGAATGCTCAAATTAACTATGGAATGGAGTAAAAAAGGGATTAAAATTAAGTGATAATCTTTCAAACTTGCGTTAGCCTTCAGGAATTGTCTTCAAACATTTTGCTCCACACATCCTCTACAAAAAAATTTGAAAAATTATGTAGAGTCTGATACAATATGAAGCTCACATTTGAAATATTACATCATAATTTTAAAGTGTCAAAAAATGCACTTTCTATCATACTTTAAACGTTAGTATTTCAAAATAAATTTTTAAATTACTTTTTCAAACATATTCAATGGAATCTATATATTGTAGTGATTTAATACCTTTATAATTCAATAATACATGAAATTTTTTTCTTTAGGAGCAGAAATTTCAAATAGTTCCTTTTCTCCTCGAATCCACATTTTCATTTAAGTTTCCTAAGATAATTATTTCGTAACACATTTTTACTTGAAAGTATTTTGTTGATTACCTTATCATATTTTTACAACAAATACATAAATTTTAGTTTTTAAATTTTTTGACTCTAAATATAATTTTTATTGAGGAAGAATAAGACAGGAGTCAGCATCAGTTAATTTATTTTTGTTTGTTTTTACAGACATGAGTGTTGAAAATGTTTGTTTACCTAAATAAGTGGATGTAAATGGAAGGAGTTTTATTATAGCAATGTTATTCCATTCTTTGATCTCTTTTTGCTGGGGTGATTTGAGCCATGAGTCAACATTAATGTTTTTTACCTATTTCAAAATTTTGTAATGATTTTTGATGCAGTGATTTAGGACAGACTTGTTTTAAAGTTGTGTGCTTAGCATACAACCTTTCAAAATTAGATATTACTTTTATTTTGACCATTTTAGTGCTGGATAATGTGTCTCATGCCAAGTGAAATAGTTCCAGTTAAGCACATGAAAGGTTGTTGATGTGTAGCTTTTAATACACAGATGTCTATGGCTATGTAATTTTTCTTTCAGTTGTATAATCAGATAATTATGGGAAAGAAATAAAACAAAGTATTCCCAAGTAATTTTCAATAATGTTAACTACCATAGTGTCCTAGTAGCTGACTAACTTAATTTGCTACACAAGGTTTTGCTAAAATACAATATCGAGAGAGCTCATGGCTTTTACATTGCCCTAAATATTCAACTGGTTTGTAGGCTTATTCCCCAACCTGTATAATCAGTAATTATTTAGATGGCACTTTAGTCCCATAGCTATTTTGCATTTTTCTTTTATTTTACAATTCTGGCATTCATTGATAAAGTAAATTTATATGATAATAATTTATATGATAATCATTGTGATGGTTAATACTGAGTGTCAACTTGATTGGATCGAAGGATGCAAAGTATTGATCCTGGGTGTGTCTGTGAGGATGTTGCCAAAAGAGATTAACATTTGAGTCAGTGGGCTGGGGAAGGCAGACCCACCCTTAGTCTGGTGGGCACAATCTAATCAGCTGCCAGCGAATATAAAGCAGGCAGAAAAATGTGAAAAGGTGAGACTGGCCTAGTCTTACAGCCTACATCTTTTTCCCATGCTGGATGCTTCCTGCCCTCAAACATCGGACTCCAAGTTCTTCAGTTTTGAGACTTGGACTGGCTGTCTTTGCTCCTCAAGCTTGCAGACAGCCTATTGTGGGACCTTGTGATCATGTAAGTTAATACTTAATTAACTTCCATATATATATATATATATATATATATATAAAATTAATGTCCACATATATGTATATAATTAACTTCCACATATATATGGAAGTTAATTATATATATAACTAATATATACAATAATATACAATTAATATATATTAATTATACATAGTATTATATATATTATATATTATATTGTATATTAAAATATACAATTGATTATATAATGTGTATATCCTATTAGTTCAATACTTAATTAACTTCCTGTATATGGAAGTTAATTATATATATAACTTATATATATAATAATATACAAATAATGTATATTATTATATATATTATATCATTTGTATATTATTATATACAATTGATTATATATATATTATATATATATATATATCCTATTCTGTTCCTCTAGGGAACCCTAATACAAGAATTCCACTTAGAATTTGTTATGCATTAAATCTACATAGATTAAATATTACCAGGTGCAAAGTAGATAATAAGGCAAAGGGAAGGAAATTATTAATAAGACATAGTTTCTATCCTTACAGACATTTTCCTCATTTTTGTTTGAATATGCTTAAATCTTTCTTTTGTAATCAGAAATGTAAAAGGAATCTTCATGTTTCATAAAAATACTATTCTTTTTATTTTTTTCTAGGAGACCTAAAACTTTCTTAGTCATTCTATGATTCCTTGTTTAAGATCCAGGAAAATGACCATATTCAGCATACACTTAAAAAGCACATTCTTGGCACATTCTTGGCAAATTCTTACAGAAAATTGTGCTATCAAAGGTTAGATTCTGACAGATATTAGTTAATCTTCATCTTATGGTAAAAGGTACACAGGCAAATCCCCAATTATATCTAAATCATAACAAGCTCAAAGAACATGTTAGAAAAATAAGGTTATAGACTCCTGATATATGAAAAAGTATTATTTAGAGTTACTTAAATGGATAATTTAGTACTTCTTGCTCCTACCACATGTTATTTACATTTCTGTTACAACATTTTATTTATTCTGCCTGATATTTACAGTTTGTTTCCTCTATATGTACACACACACACACACACCACACACACACACAGATTTATTATAAGGAATTAGATGACATGATTATGGAGCCTGACAAGTCCCAAGATCTGCAGTTGGCAAGCTGGAGACTGAGGAGAGCCAATGGTGTATTTCCAGCGCAAATGCTGGCAGACTTGAAATCCAGGAAGAAGCAGTGTTTCAGTTAAAGTCTAAAGGCAGGAAGAAATCCCATGTTCCAGATAGAAGGCAGTGAGGCAAGAGTAATTCTCTCTTATTGAGGGAAAGGTCAGCCTTCTGTTGTATTTAGGCCTTCAACTGATTGGATGAGCCCCACCCAATTAGAGAGGAGAATATGCTTTACTCAGTCTATCAATTTAAATGTTAAACTCATCCAAAAAAAAAATACCCTCACAGAAACATCGAGACTAGCCAAATATCTGGGCATCCCATAGCTCAGTCAGGTTGATGCATAAATTAACTATCACACCTACAAAAACAAGAGGGGAAAGGGAGAGGTATAATTGAATTTAAAGAAAACCACAGATAAAATGCCTATCAAAACTTAGATTCATTTTATTCTCTCTTCAGTTGTTTTTAAATCCATCACATCTGAGTGCTTTTGAAAACATAGAAATCTGTCTAGACTCCGTATAATATATATGAAGAAATTGAGATGCAAAAAAGTAAAGTGACTTGTCCAAGGTCACACAGTTCATTAACCATAAAGTCAAACTAAAAGCAAAATCTTACAACTTCAGTGTTCTTTCTAGTCATACACCAGTATAATTTCCCCTTTATCACCTGTATGCATGATATGAGAACTGGATAAAGTACAAACTGAATTTCAAAATGTCAATGATAAATGCATTCTTGATACATGACTGTCTTTTGTAAACATGTCCATCTGTACAAAGTAGTGATTATGATTCAGATCTCAAAGTACTTTGGGCACAGTTATTCCTGAACAGTGTGATGATTTGGAATTAATTCAAAACATACTCTGTTCATCCTCTCATAAGGGTTTTTGAACAAAGAAAATAAACCTTTAACACTGCCTGTGAAAGTAAAAGGCATGATAAGAAGGTTTGTATCCAGGCATGGAGCCAGAATGAACTATTCATTTTCAAGCTGTGGTAACTGAGAGAAGACATCTCTTTTAACCTAACTAGCTTGGAAAAGCACTGCTTTCTTCCTCCATATGTAGACTAAAAATACCATTTCTACATTCCCAAATGGCGTGTTTGTGTGAGTGGTCATGGGTAACCAATACTTTCTTACATGTTTCTAAAATCTGTCAAGTTTTCAGGTAAATATTCATATAGAGACTTTCACATTTTCAGATTAATTTTGTAAAAACTAATTACGAACCCGCATGAGGGTACTGATGCTTTCCCTTAATGAACCATTTTCAAAGTTTCCATAAAAGGAATCTCAAAATAGATTATAATGAATTCCTCTGTCGCATATTATCATGGAACAAAGTGGCACATTTTTAGAAGTGGGCTACTGAGAAATGAATCTAGCAGGGGAGGCGTGAGTAGAAGGAATCTAGAAGAAAATAAGTTTAAACACTTCGCTTTGGCTCACTTGCCTGGGTTTCAGCTGCAGCTACTGTACTTTGATACTGAAGAAGCAGGGCTAGATATTTGCAAGTCCAAGCAGGAGGGCTGCAAGCCTGCAAATCTAACAGCTGGAGAGTGTTGTGGTGGCTGCTTTCCTGTGGTAAGCTGATTTACTTGTTTAAGGTCTGACCTCATCATCCTGTCAGCATGGGTTCCCACCTACACTGTTAGCTGCAGCCTTCTGCTTCTGCTAGAAGGCTACAAGTATTCACAGTGTATCATAGGCAGTGGGGGAGGGGAGAGAAAGCAAGAAAGACTGCTCTCGGCACTTGTGCTTTTGTTAGTTCTACAGAAGAGGCAGAAAAACAAGAGATAACAAAGGCTCCGTTTCCTTTCTGTGAGAGAAGGCTTTTGTCTTTCCTCCTGCTACGATGTCAGTGTCTGGCAAGAAAGAGTTTGATGTGAAACAGATCCTAAGGCTACGCTGGAGGTGGTTTAGTCATCCTTTTCAAGGTTCCACCAACACTGGAAGCTGTCTTCAGCAGGAAGGATATGAGCATAGAGGGACCCCGGTTCAGGGCAGGTTGAAGAGCCACTCTCGGGACAGAAACGGACTGAAGAAAAGCAACAGTCCTGTCCACCACAATATACTGGCACCAGTGCCAGGACCGGCCCCTGCCCATCAGAGAGCCGTTCAGAATTTGCAGCAACATAATCTGATAGTACATTTTCAAGCAAATGAAGATACTCCTAAATCAGTTCCAGAGAAGAATTTATTCAAAGAAGCTTGTGAGAAACGCGCACAAGATTTGGAGATGATGGCTGATGACAATATAGAAGATTCTACAGCAAGGTAAGAGTTTTTGGTCGCATAACTGAATGCCGTAACTTCAGTTAACTTATCCTCTACAATTCATGTTTAGTGTTTAAATAGAAAGTGTCATAATAATCTCTGAGTTTGTATTCAGCCAATCAGAGTCTCTCAGAAACCGTCTCCTCTAAGTTTATAAAAGAAAACAGCAATAATGAATACGTCTTTATAATTACCGGAAATTTGGGGGGTGGGTTATGAGTTTACTTCTCCTATTTTCATTAAGAATTCTGTTTCAATTCTAAGAGATGTTTATTGTAATTACTAATGTTCTATAAATACACTCCGTGGCTCAGATGTTTAAATGCAATTCTTTGTGCAAGTGTTATGAATCACGGAGAACTCTTTCTGACATTGTGAGTTAGGCCAACTTTAACAAAATAAAAGCTGTGACTGATCAGCACATCCTTATCTGTTTCCTTAGTACATAGTTGCGATATTGACTCTTAAAACTGTGTTATCTTTATGTGACAATATGGAATATTTGGCGTTCGGAGACTCATTTCAAGTTGTATTACTTTCATAGCTAGTTTTTGCAAGCATGAAAATATTCTACATAAAGCAGGTAATAAGATGCTACTTACAGCAATGTGATCTTAAAGCGGGAAATGGAGCATTTCAGCTTTTACATAAAATGAAAATTGAATAAACAGTGACGATATAGTGTAGTTTGGGTATAGTTCATAAAACATTTGATTTTGTCTTTACTTTTATGCCCACCGGTATTGTTTGAGTGCAAGAAAATTACATTCTGTTCTCTAATACTGTCAACTATAACTTAACCTAGTGTATCCTTATCTCTTTGTTTTTTGCTTTTTCACTATCAGACATTTTTATAGTCCCAACGTGTTTTAGACACAGTTGATAATATTGGCAATGTAATTAATATTCAGTAGTACTATAGAAAAATAAGTGTTTTTATGCATTTTAGATCATATAGTAGTTCAACATGCTAATTTATTTGGAAACCTGGATATCTGGCATACTATGTCTCTACCTAAAAATAGAGAAGAAGGACTGGCAGATTTGCTTCTTAATATAAGTTTTCCCAATAAAACAACCTCACAGTGTCTTGCTTTCATAAATTCAAAACAGTTTATCAGAAGAAGAAGCAGCCTAATAACATTACAGCAAAATGATGCCTTTATAGGAACTCAGTCTTGTTGAAATATAAACATGCAGAAGACTTTGTGAAATGACATTAATAATAATGTTAGATTGTCTGTCATATAAACTTCTCAGGAAATAAAGCACGTATGTGTGAAATTTTCCTAAATATTTTGTGCTTGCTCGTGGAAAAGCTATATAACTGTAGGGATTGCAGGTTGCATTTGGTACAACAAATAAGACTCTCAAAGTAATATAGAGTCCATAATTTTAAATTCAGCAGGCTTTCAAATTTGTTCTCGTCACCAAGAACAATTTTTAAAAAACTGCTGAATTTGGAGATTAATAAATGAATTTAACTCTGCTGTAGGGAAATTTAAATTACCAACTGTAACTTTGGAACAAAATTATTTGAGAATACATGAATTAATTTTCTAGTATGGGAATATTTACAATAAAATAGATGTTAGAAAAAATGTTAGGTAAAATGTCACATTTAAAGCGTCATCAAGTGACAGTTTAAAAAGCGCATTTATCCTTTGATTTTATTCCTGACATTTTTTATTTTCTAAAGAAATGCCTTGTTAATTATTCTATGGTTTCATTGGAAAGCTAACGTTTTCTTAATATACATACAGGAAATGGTTTTATAGGTGTGCCAAGGATATCTTAGGCAGGAGGGGCTAAATTGAAGATCTTATTAATTGAAATACGATGGTTTATTACCTTCTCCTTAACCATTCTAAATCTTCCTGTCTTGGTCCAGCATCATTTGAGAAGGAGCTTTCTGATGCCTTGCTTCTCCAGTGCCTCTCTTCTTGAGCAATATTGAGGAGCAGGAAGAAAAGATCCCAACAAGTTGGCAGCAGGCTGCCATCCCCTCAATATGACTCCAGTGGTTTTTTAAAAAAGAAAACAGTAGTGAGTGTGGAGAATTATCATACTAGCACAAGATGAGCTATGACGCTCAGAGTAAAGTAAGGCTCTTTAAGCCATCCAGATTTCTACAAATATTATGGGGAATAAATAGAGAATGGACTAAATTGCAAACATACAATATAGCAGAATAAATCACAGTTAGTCCTGGAAGGGATATTAAAGCCAACATTGTTAAAGTTATGTTGACATGTTGGTTTGGAAAGTTAAAAATTCAAATGTATTCATATGAAATTGAATTATAAATACATAGAGCATTTAGGAATAGCTCTGTATTGTGATCCCACACTGTGAGTATTCATATACCAGTATGCTGGTCATCAGAGACCTGTGCTCAATTATCATTTTACTTTTGTCCTAGTTATCAACTAACTCTGCATCTTTGCTTCCCTTTCCTTATTTCAACCATAGCATTCCAACAAAAAGAACACATATTTTAACATTGTATTATGATAATGCTTCCTATGTGACAGAGTATTTAATTATGAAATAATATATATAGGTATTTGCAATTGCTCATAAACATATTATTGCATAAGTATACAGATGGATGTCACAGTGTTAACATGAAAAATCATGCTTACTGCATTTACTGAAAGAGATGTCGTGATTTCCTCTTTGTGTTCGAAGACATTGAATAAAGTGCAAATGAACCATTTATGGGCCAAGAACATGCCCCAGTACAAAATTGGACATTTACAGAGCTGTTTAATTCTAAGGAATTGTCAGGAATGGGGACCATGCCCTTATTTTACCTGTTGGGGTTTCAGGCTTTTGCACAACCTACCAACTGTACTGATATGTGACTTTAAATATTTTTGTCATCTGTGCACTGCCAGAAAAGACTCCATTCTTTCTTTACTAGAGCCCTTTCCAAGTTTCAAGTGAGGTTTGCCTAGAAAAAATGAGCAGATGTTATTGTATATGTTGCTATCCAAAAGAAAGTAGGATTGGATGAATAAGACTTAGAATTTATTAATAATTTATTCCACAAAGATTGAGCATTCATTGTGTTCCAGGCACTCTTCTAGATGTTAGGGATAAAACAGGATCAAAACAGAGAAATCTGTTTTCATTGAATCATTGAATATACATTCTAATGGGAAGAGAGAGGCAATAAAAACAAACCAAATTATAATATTTAGGTGATTATAAATAATATGAGAAAAATTAATTTGAAAGAATAGAGTGAAGTAGAGGGCACTCCTTCAGATAGAGAAGGCTTTTTGGATGAGGTAATATTTGAGTAGATATTTAAATGAAGTGAAAAGAAGACAGAATGTCTGACTCAAGAATTTGAAGCAAATGAGAGGGTACTTCTCCTGTGCCAAGGGAGTACTTAACCACCATATATGCTTTTCTATACAAATCAATGCCACATGTCCCCACAGAGTCCATTGATTAATGTTCAAAATATTCCTTAACCGGTGAACTAAAAATTATGTCCTGCCCTGTTATTCATTATAGTGATTTTAGGATCACATGTGTGGTCCATGACCACAGAGGTGACTTTCCAGCCATCCTGTAACCATGTTGCTCTTTTGCCCTCTGGGGATATGGCTATTCAGCCAGCGTGGCACATGCCTCATACAGAGACCTCTGCCTTTTATGAAAACAGACACATGATAGTGTATTTGCCTTTTTTAACAAAACGATTCAGATAGGGTCAAATGTATTGTAGGTCTTCATCCTCAACACAAACCCATCTGTTTTATGAAATATGCTAGGGAAATACTCATGCATAAGAGAAATTGTAAGTCTAAAACAGTGAAACTTATTGTAAAATTATTTCCCATAAAGCAGAAAATGAGATATGTGGGTATCTGCAGGGAGTGCTTTCCAGGAAGAAATCAATTTCATGGGACCTGAGATGGGAGTGTGGTTGATAGTGTATCTGGAGAAGCACGCTCAACAGAGAGAGTGGTAGGAAATGACTTTGGAAAGGTAACAATAACAAAGCAATACTAATACAACATTAAAAATAAGAAGTACCTTTTGTTGATGCTTACTGTGTGCCAAGCATGGAGCACTTTACATATATTTTCTCCTGCCCCCAAGGAAAATCTTTGAATGTGAAGCTGATGCTCATATCTACAATTGGTATTTCTCCAGGCATTATATCTGTTAATGTTGTTGCCTGTCTTCTTACGAGGTGAAAATAGTGTGATTTTCTGAAGTTCAGAACTAGGCCTGCTTCACTTAACTTTACACTGCATTATTCAGTAGAGACTTTTATGTCAAATGAAGGAATGAGAAATGAACTACAATTATATAGTTATTTACAGAAAGGTTAAGGTTAAATCTTTTTGCCTATGGTTTAAAACACACCGCACAAAATTACATAAGTTATTCAATTGCTTTACTACATTTAGAACATTACGACAAAAAATTTAAATTTATTGCAATGATTCCTAACATTTTTAGAGATGAAAGCTTTGCTGGTTGATTGCAAATCCTTGCTACTCATTGCCTCAATCCTGAGAGTGTGGTACCATGGTCTTCATGTCTCATTCTTGACAGTACGGTATCACGTATATAATTAAGTTAACATTCATTAAAATATATTTAATATTTCAAAATTTGGGGACTCTCATTTAAGGATCTTGGTGATACTTTGGAGACATATTCTTTTATGATTAAACATAGTTATTATTTCTGATATGTGAAAGACATCATTTAATTTTTGCATTTGGAAATAGAAATAAAGGCTTCAAAATGCATTGTATTATATAACATGTGATGTCAAGAGCAGCATATTAATTATATTGACGTGTTGCAAATTGCACAAATGTTCAGTCACTTTGTACTTTAAAGACTTTTTTGGAAACTTGTATGTCTTCTTTCTGACCCTTGCCCCTAATGCTAATCTTGTTGATGCCTTAAGACATTATAAGTCATATGACTTTATTAGTGAAAATAATTGCAGTGTTTTATACATATATGTACACGTATATGTATATGTATGTATTTGTACCAGTGTGAAATTATTTTATTTAAAGGAGAAAGAAAAACCGAAATCAAGGAGGAGCACTGGGGAACACTGGATCCTCAGTTAAAAAACTTAAGTCAAAATCAATATTCTGAAAGGTAAACCTGAAACATCTTGTAGTGCTAGAAAATAAGTATTCAAAAAAATGATGTAGGTGTGTCAAAGGGACACAGGGATCAACTAAAAAAGCTCCCAATAGCCAAAACTGGAACAATTTCAATAGCAAAAGGAAGTACTATTGGATTGCAAATCATAATATAAAATAAACACCCATGAGTCCATACTGATATAAATAGATGACTGAGTAAATGAGAAGGCCGGCCGTGGTGGCGCATGCCTGTAATCCCAGCACTTTGGGAGGCCGAGGCAGGCGGGTCACTTGAGGTCAGGAGTTCGAGACCAGCCTAGCCAACATAGTGAAACCCCGTCTGTACTAAAAATACAAAAATTAGCCAGACGTGGTGGCAGGCACCTGTAATCCCAGCTACTCGGGAGGCTGAGTTAGGAGAATTGCTTGAACGCAGGAGGCAGAGGTTGCAGTGAGCCGAGATTGCGCCACTACACTCCAGCCTGGGCGACAGAGTGAAACTCCGTCTCAAAAAAATAAATAAATAAAAATAAATAAATAAATGAAAGAAAAAAGACAATTTTTTTGTGCAGAAGAATTTCAAATAATTTATGCCAGCACTCTGCCCTCAAAGAGGTCGAGCAGAATACTGGGCCTTAAGTGTAAGCTGCACATAGTGACTTCTTTCCAAAGGGTCGAGTACGGTATGAAAGAAGGGCAGGAAAGTGTAAATTTACACCATTAGCGGAGAAGTCTGACAAATATGAGCTTAGCCAGATACTCAAGTTTAACATCAAAAGTGCTCAAAATTGCTAAAATTTTTTACATTCTCACCAAAAAATAAAAATAAATTGGTGAGGTGACAGATATGATAATTAGTTTATCAAATCTTTTTAATGTATACATAGATCAAAACATTGCATTGTACCCCATAAATAAGCACAATTATTAACTGTCAATTAAACATTTTAAACATTAAAATATTGTTCAATCATGTTGACAGTATGTACACTTAGTGTGATGTAATGACAATAATATTTACCTTTGTTATCTTCCTCCCCCATCCCCATCATTCCAATCTAATCATAAGAAAAACATCAGAGAAATTTACATAGGGGGACATTCTACAAAATACCTGGTCTATACTCCTGAAACTGTCAGTATTATCAAAAAAGAAAATCTGAGAAACTGTCACAATCAAGAAGAGCCAAAGGAGACATGAAATATAAATGTGATGTGTTACAGAAAAGGGACCTTTAGTGGAAACTGAGGAAATTGAACAAAAATGGACTTTAGTTAATAATAATGTATGAATATTGGTTACTTAATTGTAACATATTTACGATACTAACAAAATGTTAATAGTAAAATAAATTGAGTGCGGGGTATGTGGGGACTCTATTCTATGATTAAACTATCACAGCTTTTCTTTAAAAAAAATGCAATATTTTAGCAAGGGTTATCTGCGTGAATCAATTTCCTAAGTCAGCAATAAAGGACCATCCAATTGGGAAAACTGGGTATTGGTTGTTGTTTGTTTTGCTTGTTGGCAACTAGTTAACGTAATACTGAGTCAAAATCAATGGGCTGTTACTGTCTCTAATGCATAAATCCTACACATTAGAAACAAGATAATATCATAAAGGCAATCCTAAAGAAGTTAGCTAAAGTTCTGATAACATCTAGTAACTACATGCAGTATCAAATCTGACTAACATGATATTAATTGTGGCTATCATTCAGTGTATATCAATTTTAAGGCTGTAGCAACTAATTAAATCACAGTTGGGTATAACAGAAAAACTTATTTTTTTATCACTGAGGATTCCACGAACACTAATGAAGTGGTATATATTTATTAGTATTTTCAAATAAAAATATGGCCTGCTACTTTAAAATAATATTTACATTGCTGCGATTTATCTCTCAAAAGAAAAACAATGACAGATATAAGACAGTCTTTATTATATAAAAATTTTTATCATCTTCCTATGCTAAAAGAAAAATATAGTCATTAAGTATATCTTACTTACAGTGTTTCTATTCCATTTAGATAATCATTTCACCATGAAGAATGGAAAATTTTCAGCTATGGTGTTTGTTTGAGAAATAAGATTTTACAAGTAGACTAAAAATAACTATCTAAGAAAAGGTGACTAGAAGTGAGAAAACTTAAATCAAATCGTTTTCAGTTATCTGATGTTTTAGGATTAAATGAGCATCATTGAAATTTTGAACATTAACCATTACATAAAGGTTTACTCTGGAAACACTATAACGTATGTATTTTCTAAATCAATACATATATATTATACTTACACTATCATTTGCACTGAAAGAGACCAAATATCAATGATCATATTTATTGAAACTATCAGCAGTGAATTCATAGTTCTTTGTAACTTCTGGTTAACATTTCTTAGCTTATCACTATTAGTCACTATGACTCATCCCTTGCATGCTTTTAAATATTACTGTACAGAATGTGTGTCTTGCCCTCCTCCCCACATTGTCTATTGCTCTTTCTTCATCAGCAGCCATACTAAATACCTTGCAATTTTCTCGGCACTTATGTAACAGAAGCAATTGGTTCTTCATCAAGCCCTGGGTAGCTTACTAAAGGCAAGCTATCTATTACATTTCTTGTCTACCCTTTTCCTGTAAAACTAGACTGCTATCAGCACAGTGAGACTTAGGTGTCCTTTTCTGGTTAATGTTGATTACAGTACCTGTAACAAAACTGAAAACAACGCATGAGTAACAGACTGTCACATAAAATTGTAAGCAACACAGCTACTTAATTTAGTCTGAAGTATGTTGCAACGTGCCAAAATTCAGTTGTTTAAGATGTTGGTTTTCTATTAATGTTTCCTCCATTCAAGAATTATTTATTGAGCCCTCATTTATGTGCATGATGGTTTCCTACTCATACAAATGAATAAAAAGGTAAATAATATGTGCTAATTTTCACCAGAGGCTTATGGCATAGTTGGAGAGATAAAGTGTATTCCCTTGAAAGGTTTCATGGCCGTAAAAAAGAAGTGCAATGTAAGAAAACTTTAAATTGCTTAGTCATTGAGCTCCATAGGCATTCAAAGAAAAGAAAGTCTTTCTGGCCAGAAAAATCTTGGAATGTTTCATGGAGGTGACATAATTTGAGATTAAGCTTGAGGAATGGACACATTTTAATACAACTATGGGAAATAATTAATTATAGGAAGAACGAAAAACCTTTCTATTGCCTTTCTAAGGAAAAAGGTAATGAAGCAGAGAAGTTTAATGTATACTCCAATGGAAGACTTCAGTTTTGTCGAAATGAAAGACATATATTGGAGAAGACTACAAAATGAGGAGACCAAAAAAGAAGGTCAGAGCTATATTATGGAGGCTCTTAAAAGACAAGATAGGGACTCTGGACATTTTCTTAGAAGTCAGAGCGTATTAATCCTCAAGAAATCTCTAAAATATATTGTGTGTGTGAATATTTTGAGGGAGAGGTTCCATTCACTTTCCTCAGGTTCTCAAAAAGTTCCATTTTACAAGAAAATTTAAGAGGTACTGTTGTAGACAATGAAGAATCAGTGAAAACTATAAAACTATGGAATGAAATAATGAAAACAATGGAAAAATTTATCATTGAAATTCCTGAACAAGAGACGAAAATAGTCTGCAATTTTTAGTTAATGAGATTTTTGCAAGGAAGTTTTCCCAGGCAGTTAGAAACACCTCACTTTTATATATTTACACTAATTGTCATCTTGACATGGATTACCTAATCTACTATAAAAGATTCCAAGCTTTTGAGAACATTCTTAAAAATATAGTTCTGCAACCCTGTATCGTAAGCTGTTGCATCATAGCACCATCTTGAAACTGGACTCACCATTACAGTGTGTCCTGCATTGGAGGCCAATAACCACTTATACTCTTTGTCCCTGAGACCTCATCATCATTCTATCACATTCACATGGGTGCCTGCAGCACCACAACCCTGGCTGCCAAGAGCCTGGGCCTGATGTTAAAACTAAGACCTAAGCAACCAAAGCCACGCGACACTCTCCTCCCTAGGAAACAGTTGGACCTGCACAGCAGAGAATCTTCTGAACAACTTGCCAGCTTCCCACACCCGCACATATATGTGTGTGCCCATGCCCATCCTCATAGCCAGTTTAGTGGCTGTTCCAACCCCCTGGAGAGCTTTCCACCCCCACACATCCAGCATAAAAACCAGCCTGGTGTTTCCTTCCCAGCAAAACGGTGACACTGCCATCCCAGAGCTCCACAGCCTAGGCCACTGACATATATACCATATAAAAGTGACACCCTAGGATTCATCTGTAGGAAAGAAAGACTCTCTCTGGGAAAGCTACTCACAAAATTGGAAAAAAAAAAAAAAACAATTGTTCTACTAGATGCACAGATACCAACCTGAGCACACAAGAAACACGAAAAAGCAAGGAAACATAATACATACAAAGAAACATGATAAGTTTCCAGTAACAGATCACTGGAGAATGAAATTCTGTAACATCACAACCTTGGCTGCCAGGAGCCTACACCTGATGGTAAAACTAAGACCTAGGCATCCAAAGCCTAGAAAGAATAGAGAATGTAGAAATAATATTTACAAAATGCCTGAAAAAGAATTTAAAATAATGATTATAAGGAAACTCAACATGATACAAAAAAATTCAAACAAATGATTCAGAAAAATTAGGGAAACAATTTGTGATCTAAGTGAAAAATTCAACAAAGAGATAGATATAATGAAAAAGAATTAAGCAGAAATTTTGGAGCTGAAGAATTTCATAATGAAATAAAAATACAATTGTAAGCTTAATAATAGACTAGATTAAGCAGAAGAAAGTATTTCTGAACTCAAAGGCAAGCTTTTTGAAATAACTCAGTCAGAGAAAAAATAATAATAAAGGAGAATGAATAAAGCCTATGGGACTTACGAGACACCATTAAATAAAGAAACTCACAGTTGCACAGTGTTCCAGGCTGTGCGCCATGGCTAATGCCTGTAATCCCAGCACTTTGGGAGGCCGAGGCAGGTGGATCACGAGGTCAAGAGATTGAGACCATCCTGGCCAACATGGTGAAACTCCGTCTCTACTAAAAGTATAAAAATTAGCTCAGCGTGGTGGCACGTGCCTGTAGTTCCAGCAACTCGAGAGGCTGAGGCAGGGGAATCGCTTGAACCCAGGAGGCAGAGGTTGCAGTTGAGCCAAGATTGCGCCACTGCATTCCAGCCTGGTAACAAAGCGAGACAAAAAAAAAAAAAAAAAAAAAAAAAAAAAAAGAGTTCCAGGGAGAAGTAATGGAGAAAGTCACAGAAAACCTGTTTAACGAAGTAGCTAAACACTTTCCAAGTATGGCATCTTATCACGATCATCCAGATTCAGGAAGCTCAACTGTTTCCAATTATATTCAACCCAAATATATCCCCTCTGAGGCAGACTATAAACAATCTGTCCAAAATCAAAGACAGAGAGAGAATTCTAAAAGCTACAAAAGGTAAGCACCAAATCACATTTAAGGGAATACTCATTGGACTTTCAGCAGATTTCTCAGTAGAAACTTTTCACGTCAGGAGAAAATGCAATTATATATTCAAAGTGATAAAAGGAAAAAAAAAAACCATTGTCTTTCACTAATCCCATATTCAGCAAAGCTAACCTTTACAAATGAAGAAACAGTAAAGACCTTCCTAAACAAAAGCGGAGGGAATTTATGACCATTAGACTGGCCTTATAAGAAATACTTGAGACTACTGCAACTAGAAATCAAAAGATGATAATTACTATAACAAAAACAGGAAATTATGAAACTCACCAGTAAATATTAATTCATAATCCAACTCAAAATACTCCAGGGCTATAATGGTACTCTGTGCATCATTCAATATTCTAGTGTAAAGGTTTAAAGTCAAAATGGTGAAAAAGAAGATTTAGGATTAGTGGCTAAGTAATACAGAAAAGTTTTAGTATACTCAAATTGAGTACATTTAATATAATGATTAATATTATACCTTAACTGGAAGAGAAAAGTATTCCTTTTGACAAAAAAACCTAGTCATGAGAACAATCAGGAAAACTTTTCTGTAGTTCCCTAGGAGAGTATAGAGTCTTTAATCTTGATCTTTTATTATTAAATTCTCTATATGTGAGCCCTGCAGTGTAGACTGCATATGCTTCAGAAAGAAAATGTTTGTTTCCAGAACAGTCATGATACTGCAATATTGTGTTTTTCAAAAAATGGCTGGACATAGCAGATAATCTCAGAGAAGATTTGGAGACATAAAACCATACTTTTTAAATTCCCTTTTTTGAATAAAGACCGTGTCAAATGTAAAAAATAAAATGTATCTTGATAAGACAATAAAGAGATTCATTTTCTTTGAGGATGTAATGTCCAGTTATAAAACATTTAGGTCAATATAATTTAAATGCCTTAATCCAGAGGCACTTAATGTTCCATGTTAATTAGGCAACTAGGATACTACATTAGAAATTTCAGCAAGTACTATAATCAAAGAATTATAGTAGCCAGCATAGTGTGATAAAAATTCATCTCCTGGATATTAGCCCTTTGTCAGATGAGTAGGTTGCGAAAATTTTCTCCCATTTTGTAGGTTGCCTGTTCACTCTGATGGTAGTTTCTTTTGCTGTGCAGAAGCTCTTTAGTTTAATTAGATTCCATTTGTCAATTTTGTCTTTTGTTGCCATTGCTTTTGGTGTTTTAGACATGAAGTCCTTGCCCATGCCTATGTCCTGAATGGTAATGCCTAGGTTTTCTTCTAGGGTTTTTATGGTTTTAGGTCTAACATTTAAGTCTTTTTTTTTTTATTATACTTTAAGTTTTAGGGTACATGTGCACATTGTGCAGGTTAGTTACATATGTATACATGTACCATGCTGGTGTGCTGCACCCACTAACTCGTCATCTAGCACTAGGTATATCTCCCAATGCTATCCCTCCCCCCTCCCCCCACCCCACAACAGTCCCCAGAGTGTGATATTCCCCTTCCTGTGTCCATGTGATCTCATTGTTCAATTCCCACCTATGAGTGAGAATATGCGGTGTTTGGTTTTTTGTCCTTGCGATAGTTTACTGAGAATGATGATTTCCAATTTCATCCATGTCCCTACAAAGGACATGAACTCATCATTTTTTATGGCTGCATAGTATTCCATGGTGTATATGTGCCACATTTTCTCAATCCAGTCTATCATTCTTGGACATTTGGGTTGGTTCCAAGTCTTTGCTATTGTGAATAATGCCGCAATAAACATACGTGTGCATGTGTCTTTATAGCAGCATGATTTATAGTCCTTTTGGTATATACCCAGTAATGGGATGGCTGGGTCAAATGGTATTTCCAGTTCTAGATCCCTGAGGAATCGCCACACTGACTTCCAAAATGGTTGAACTAGTTTACAGTCCCACCAACAGTGTAAAAGTGTTCCTTTTTCTCCACATCCTCTCCAGCACCTGTTGTTTCCTGACTTTTTAATGATTGCCATTCTAACTGGTGTGAGATGGTATCTCATTGTGGTTTTGATTTGCATTTCTCTGATGTCAGCGATGGTGAGCATTTTTTCATGTGTCCTTTGGCTGCATAAATGTCTTCTTTTGAGAAGTGTCTGTTCATGTCCTTTGCCCACTTTTTGATGGGGTTGTTTTTTTCTTGTAAATTTGTTTGAGTTCATTGTAGATTCTGGATATTAGCCCTTTGTCAGATGAGTAGGTTGCGAAAATTTTCTCCCATTTTGTAGGTTGCCTGTTCACTCTGATGGTAGTTTCTTTTGCTGTGCAGCAGCTCTTTAGTTTAATTAGATCCCATTTGTCAATTTTGTCTTTTGTTGCCATTGCTTTTGGTGTTTTAGACATGAAGTCCTTGCCCATGCCTATGTCCTGAGTGGTAATGCCTAGGTTTTCTTCTAGGGTTTGTATGGTTTTAGGTCTAACGTTTAAGTCTTTAATCCACCTTGAATTGATTTTTGTATAAGGTGTAAGGAACATAGTGTTGGAAGTTCTGGCCAGGGCAATTAGGCAGGAGAAGGAAATAAAGGGTATTCAATTAGGAAAAGAGGAAGTCAAATTGTCCCTGTTTGCAGATGACATGATTGTATATCTAGAAAACCCCATTTTCTCAGCCCAAAATCTCCTTAAGCTGATAAGCAACTTCAGCAAAGTCTCAGGATACAAAATCAATGTACAAAAATCACAGGTATTCTTATACACCAATAACAGACAAACAGAGAGCCAAATCATGAGTGAACTCCCATTCACAATTGCTTCAAAGAGAATAAAATACCTAGGAATCCAACTTACAAGGGATGTCAAGGACCTCTTCAAGGAGAACTACAAACCACTGCTCAAGGAAATAAAAGAGGATACAAACAAATGGAAGAACATTCCATGCTCATGGGTAGGAAGAATCAATATCATGAAAATGGCCATACTGCCCAAGGTAATTTATAGATTCAATGCCATCCCCATCAAGCTACCAATGACTTTCTTCACAGAATTGGAAAAAAATACTTTAAAGTTCATATGGAACCAAAAAAGAGCCCGCATCGCCAAGTCAATCCTAAGCCAAAAGAACAAAGCTGGAGGCATCACACTACCTGACGTTTAAGTCTTTAATCCATCTTGAATTAATTTTTGTATAAGGTGTAAGGAAGGGATCCAGTTTCAGCTTTCTACATATGGCTAGCCAGTTTTCCCAGCACCATTTATTAAATAGGGAATCCTTTCCCCATTGCTTGTTTTTCTCAGGTTTGTCAAAGATCAGATAGTTGTAGATATGCAGCATTATTTCTGAGGGCTCTGTTCTGTTCCATTGATCTATATTTCTGTTTTGGTACCAGTACCATGCTGTTTTGGTTACTGTAACCTTGTAGTGTAGTTTGAAGTCAGGTAGCATGATGACTCCAGCTTTGTTCTTTTTGCTTAGGAGTGTCTTGGCCATGTGGGCTCTTTTTTGGTTCCATATGAACTTTAAGGTAGTTTTTTCCAATTCTGTGAAGAAAGTCATTGGTAGCTTGATGGGGATGGCATTGAATCTATAAATTACCTTGGGCAGTATGGCCATTTTCACGATATTGATTCTTCCTACCCATGAGCATGGAATGTTCTTCCATTTGTTTGTATCCTCTTTTATTTCCTTGAGCAGTGGTTTGTAGTTCTCCTTGAAGAGGTCCTTGACATCCCTTGTAAGTTGGATTCCTAGGTATTTTATTCTCTTTGAAGCAATTGTGAATGGGAGTTCACTCATGATTTGGCTCTCTGTTTGTCTGTTATTGGTGTATAAGAATGCTTGTGATTTTTGTACATTGATTTTGTATCCTGAGACTTTGCTGAAGTTGCTTATCAACATATCCAGAATCTACAATGAACTCAAACAAATTTGCAAGGAAAAAACAAACAACCCCATCAAAAAGTGGGCAAAGGACATGAACAGACACTTCTCAAAAGAAGACATTTATGCCGCCAAAAAACACATGAAAAAATGCTCACCATCACTGGCCATCAGAGAAATGCAAATCAAAACCACAATGAGATACCATCTCACACCAGTTAGAATGGCAATCATTAAAAAGTCAGGAAACAACAGGTGCTGGAGAGGATGTGGAGAAATAAGAACACTTTTACACTGTTGGTGGGACTGTAAACTAGTTCAACCATTGTGGAAGTCAGTGTGGCGATTCCTCAGGGATCTAGAACTAGAAATACCATTTGATCCAGTCATGCCATTACTGGGTATATACCCGAAGGACTATAAATCATGCTGCTATAAAGACACATGCACACGTATGTTTATTGCGGCACTATTCACAATAGCAAAGACTTGGAACCAACCCAAATGTCCAACAATGATAGACTGGATTAAGAAAATGTGGCACATATACACCATGGAATACTATGCAGCCATAAAAAATGATGAGTTCATGTCCTTTGTAGGGACATGGATGAAATTGGAAATCATCATTCTCAGTAAACTATCGCAAGGACAAAAAACCAAACACCGCATGTTCTCACTCATAGGTGGGAATTGAACAATGAGAACACATGGTCACAGGAAGGGGAATATCACACTCTGGGGACTGTTGTGGGGTGGGGTGAGGGGGGAGGGATAGCATTAGGAGATATACCTAATGCTAAATGACCAGTTAATGGGTGCAGCACAGCAGCATGGCACATGTATACATATGTAACTAACCTGCACATTGTGCACATGTACCCTAAAACTTAAAGTATAATAATAATAAAATAAAATAAAAATTCATCTCCTTAAAACAAACACATAGCTTAGATCTTAAAACCTACTCAATTTTCTCATTGTTAGTAATGAACTTGCTTATTTTCACCCCCAAAATTTGTCAGTAAAAACCTTCTATGAGGGAAAGGAATTCAAGAGCTTTCTGTAGAGCCACAATGAATGAATTAAACAAAAATCTGGGTATAGTCCAAGAATAGAGAACATTGAAACCAGGTTATTAAGTAAAGGGAATTTCAATTAGGAGTGATGATCAGTTTATCTAGTCAAGACCACAAAACCGGAAATAGGAGTCTGTGATAAACGTGACACAAAGAAGAAGAGTGGAAAACCAAGGTTAAATACTCAGCAGGAATAAAAGAAAACACGTTTGTTAAATGTATAAAGTTATAAAGGTTGTAACAGAGTAGAATAATGGGGGCAGTTCATTTTCAGAGACCCTAGTAAATGTAGCTACTCCTGGGACAATTCTCTTTCCTGACATTGCTAAATAAGATCTTGGACTTCACTATGCCCAATAATTATGTAGGGAGCTCATTAAAAATGTAGTTATTCAGTATCCAGTATCACAGAATTTGACTTATTGGTTTGGGGGTAGAACATAGGAATTTGAATTTTTAACAAACTTCTCAGGTAATATTGACTCAGGAACCAAACTTTAAAAAAAACACTTTATTAACTCCTGACAGCCCAGTTTATCAGGATTCTTACAGAAACCTAACGCTTGATATATTGATAATGGTAAATTTGAAAGAAAGAAATCTAAGACTTGAATCTGTGACTTACAAGTTCCCTCATGTTGACCAGGCGGATGCTTAAAAACAATAGAGTCAACAGCATTAATGTAACCTCACACCCCTCCTACATGTTATGTGGAAGGATGGCAAAGAAACAGAAATGGAGGTCCTTCCCTGAAGGAGTTCATAATAAAGTTGGAATAAAAAATACAACCACTCATAAAAGCTTTAAGAGCAATTACAAAACAGCAACTTGGCATGGATCACCTTGTGTTTAACAGTATGGAAGCTATTCAGGATAACTAAGATGGAAGTAAGGTTAATGATTCAAGACCTCTTAAGATGCAAACATAGAAAGTTTAATGCAAGAATAGAAGGTGGAAAATGAGATGAAAAATTAAGCCCTTCTTTACAAATTATGAATCTGATAAAGAGATTTAATATGTTAAATAATCACCTTTCAGAAGCACTTGTCGGATCTTAATAAAGTGGAGAAGAAAGTTTGATGGCACTTTGTATACTTCTTGCACCTGATCAAGATTTTCTTTTATTTCTATATGAAGTATTGTAGATACACTTGAACTTACCATAAATGATTAGAACAAGTACATATGCTATAATTTCACAGCTAGTACATATCTGAGGATGAAGAAAATATTTGCTCTGAATTTTTTTCATCCTTTCTACTTCCATTGAATTGACCTTATAATAATTGCATATTTACAGATACATTAGCATTTTAGAAGTAGAAGGGACTTATAAAGAATGACCACACCTAATTAGTGGCAAAACTGGGACTATCAGACAAATTTCCTAATGCCTGGCTTCTCACAGCAGCATATTTTACTTCTTCCTTCTGATAAAATTATGAATGTTCAATCATCACGATAGCTGAAGATACTAGAAAGTGCTTAGATTAGGCTGATCACAAAATTATTTGGAGTTAAATATGTGATACAATTGTGACACTTTAAATCCTATAACTACCGTACCAAATTAGGACATTTTACAAACCTTAGTATCCTAAAAATAGTTAAATCATTTTATTCCACTCTTTGCAGAAAATATCTAAAACATTCAGCCAACTCAGGAGCAACTATTATACTCTGTAAATTATCTATTAGCACCTGGGGGCTTCTCTATACTCTCAGTTCAACAGCAAGGCAACAGGGTCTCTGGTTGGGGATTCATCCGGTCTTTCAGCTTCTGTTCATTAGTTGTTTTGTGATATGGTTTGGATCTGTGTTTCTGCCCAAAGCTCGTGTCAAATTGTAATCTCCAATGCTGGGAGTGGGGCCTGGTGGGAGCTGATTGGATCATGGGGGTAGTTTCTTATGAATATTAATAGTTTAGCACCATCCTTTTGGTGCTGTTCTCATGATAGTGAGTGAGTCCTTGCAAGCTCTGGTTGATAAAAGTGTATAGCGCCTCCCCGTCTCTTTTGCTCCTTCTCCAACCATGTGCGGTGCCTACTCCTTCACCTGCCATGATTGTTAAGTTTTTTGAGGCCTCCCAGAAGCCAAGCAGATGCCAGGCTTATGCTTCTTGTACATCCTGCAGAACCATGAGCCAATTAAACCTCTTCTCTTTATAAATTACTGTGTCTCAGATACTTCTTTATAGCAATGCAAGAACGAACTAATACATTTGGGTAATCGAGAACCAAATGAATTCCCATTTAAACTGTTACTATTTTGAAGTAGATCAATTTTGCAACTTTGTTCAAGAAATAAGGACTTAATTTGAATACTACTGACAAGTTCTCTGAAAATTAACCAACAGTTACCCTAAAACAAATTTGGCCCTATTCTCTTACTCTCCCTTCAGCAGTATAAAGCTGATGATAAATATAAATATGTAAAAATTTCTATGATGACTTTTAAAGTTACCTTGCAATTTTTCTCTTCTTTAAGCCAAATTGTCACAAATGATGTAAGATTCTTGAAATTCCCTTTGTCATCCCTGTAGATAATTTAATTAGTCTTCCCTTGATAGCTATACTGTAGTAAGAGTGTGATTGTCATGTATTTTTTGCTTTTGTATTAAAAGTAGCTTGCAAAAATAAATGAATACAATTTACTTGTTCCACTAAATTTTAGGTCATTAAAAGAGAAGAGAATACTTGCCAAAACATGAAAATATGAAATAGCTGATACTGCTGCCACCGAGACTCAAATAATAGATATTTTCCCTGCATAAAATAATTTTCGTTTGCCATTCTAGCATAGCATAAAAGTTTACAGGGCTATGTGAATATTAGTCACTTAGTGAAAATACAAATCTGAAAAAAATATGAAGAAGGTGCAAGTGGGGGGATATTCTGTGCAAAATTAATATATAGTATGTCATTATATTTTCATTTTGAAGGAAAAATATAATAGTGCTCCTAAGATTAATTTAAGAAAGAACTGTATAGGTGGTTGATTAAATCATTCTTAAATAGCTTCATTGTAACATAAGTTTAAAATTTAATTTATCGGTTTTTGAAAAACAGCTTAAATATCTATATTTACTTTTCATATTGTATCACAAACATTAGTTTGTGATTAACAAATAAATATAAAAAGAATTGCTACTGATTTGTTGAATGATTGTTTATATTTGTCTATAATTGTTTATATTTTAAATGTGTATCTAAGAACAAAGAACAATGCTCACTAAGAGAGCTGCTATAGCCAAGGTTGCATCTACAATACTGGAAAATAATGAAGTGCATTTATGAGAAAAAGAGTACACTAAAGATAGCTTGATGTTTCCCCTGCCTTTTTGCCTTAGTTAATATGTGGAAACCAAGAGATCATTGGCTTGGAGCAATGTGTTTTTTGAAAACACATCATCTGTTTGACTAAATCAAGAAGATGTAATAAAACACAATGTTTATTTATAATATTAATTTGAATTCTAAAGGAGGTTTTCTTCAAATTATTTTATTTTTATATTAATGTTTTGATTTTATGTTTTCAACTTTAAATGGAAATTACAACAATGATTCGATGACAGTCACCTCAAAGTTTCAATACTATTTAACACGTTTATATAAATATATATATAGATAGGTCGATATATAGATGTAGATACACACACATATACATACACACTTCTTAGAAAAGATTACACTTTCAAAAACCATGCCCTGTTATCAAGGTATAACTAACTAAATATATTTTGTTTTACTAGTGGAATGCTTAAATGAAACTTGGCTAATGTAAATATGAAGAGATTTCCTTTAAATTTACTTGTTTTTAAAAATATGCCCATATTTATTTAGTTATCTGTGTCAGTAGCTGTAATCTCATTCTTCTCATTTGATAAAAACTAAGATCACAATATCCCAAAAAAGAGGGATATTGGAAATTTTTATATTTATATGGTACTTGTAATTAATGTCAAGCATTTTAAGAATTGAGAAGAAGGCAACCTCAAATCACTTAGTTGGTATTTCATTAAGAAATGCTTTTTAGGGCACGCATTTAACTGTACATGAATCTGGTGTGCTGGAAAGCAACAATCCTGTACTTAATGCCAAATACTAACGCATGAATAAAAAGGTTGAGAGTCTCACTTCAGATCTTCATTTTATGCTCGGCATAGACAACATCAAAGCTCCTGTTATTTTCCAAAGTCTGAGCTTTTCTCTTTCTCCCTTTCTTAACTCCTTATTTCTTTCTTCATTATTTTAATTCCTTTCCTAAGATGGGATGAACAGAAGTAAGAATTGATACACGCAGAGGCATCTCAACTGTAGGTTTCCTTCAAGAAAGTGTCTCCAGGGTGCAACAGAAGTCCACATGAATCAAAGGGGGATGTTATTCTGAGCCCATATATGTTAGGGATGACTATGTCATAACGTCAGGGTTGCATTGAAACTGACTATGTTATAAAGATTGTGCCTAAATATCTGAGTGTGAACTATTAGGATTACTGGTATTTGTGTTTGAAAGCTATTATAATTATTCCACTAATTTTTGTTTTTTAGTGTTCCTTTTATTAACAGACATAAAACATAATTTAGGGTATCAGAAATATCCTTGGAAAAAGTGGTAATTAATTTTTAGAGATATATTACTATATTCAGAATATCTAATTAAATGAGAAAACTTTCTTTGGAAGTTTAGTAAATTCCATTCCTACCAATCACCATGGGAAATCCCAATTGGAGCTCACATTTTTATTAGAGCTTTATTTTGTGGTAGCTTCCTGGAACCGTGTGGCAAGATCTAAAGAAAAGTCTCAAATTCTGCCACTATATATTATTCATGCAATTTTTGCTATGAGTTTCACTTATCTCCACATCCTTCATTTTCAATCCTTCACCTTCCTTCTCTTAAACTTCAGGAATTTATTGTTAGAAAACTTGGAAATTTAGAGAAACAATATCACAGACCTCAAAGCTGAACTTAATCTTATATTTGAATTGCTTCTCTTGCTGGACATTGTTGTTGAAACCATTGCATTTTCTCACATTTAATTCAGGAACATAGACTTGGCAAATATTAAGTTAAAAAATATAAAACTTTTCATCATTTTTAAATTTTATGAATATTTATGGCTAAAATACACATTAACATTTGAAAGGAAGTACTGCATAGAAGATAAAATAATTTGTAATGTTCACGAAATTAGCAAATCCCAAAGAAATCAGAAATATACAAATTCGATTCTGTATATTATACATACAGTATAATATACAGTATATAAATGGTTAAGACATTTGTGTCATTTTTGTTTTAGACTGTTGCCATACTAGTATTTCTAAAATCTTTCAGTCCTGAAGATTTTCATCATTTTGCAGTATCTGCTGCACTTTATGAGATGTGGTAAAGAAGACATAAAACTGTTTTTTTTCCTCTATTCAACCTTTTTGTAATCACTATTTTAAAATAAAAAATATACCATGTTTTTCTCCCCAGGGTCTAGAGTTCCTTTAATGTCTTCTTCTTATCTGGAAGGTAACTTTATTTTTTCTACTTAAAAATATTCTTGGTAAGTTTTTCATTATTTTTTACTCAATGCATCCGATTTTTGGACCCAATTATTTATTCTGGGCCTCAGAAATACTGAACAACTTTTTTTTATTACTTTTTTATAACTTGCTATTTCTCTAGGATTATTATATATATATGTAATTTTTTTGCATCAAAAACTCACATTATGACAGTGTTAGCCATTACCAACATCTGATGAGATACCAACATCTGATGAGAACATCTGGTGTGCTGGAAAGTAACAATCCTGTACTTAATGGCAAATAATAATGCACGAATAAAATAATGCACATCCTAACATGCAGCATTACTCTATTTAGTAAACTTCTTCCCTGGTAAATTGATTAGTCAGTCCTTTCACCCTTATCTCCATCTATGAAGAGCCATTTTCTTATTATAGTCAAGCATCACTTAACAATGGGAATACAGTTTTAGAAATGTATTGTTAGGCAATTTTGTCTTCGTCTGAACATCACAGTGTATTTACAAACCAAGATGGGCTAGCCTACACATGTAGGCTATATGGTATATTATATAGCTACAAACCTGTGTAGGATATTACAGTACTGAATATTGTAGGCAGTTGTAGCACAATGGTACATATTCGCATGTCTAAAAATAAAAAGGACAGTAAAAATATGATATCAAAGATTAAAGAAGGGTACATCTGCATAGGGCACTTACCATAAATGAAGCTTGCAGGACCTGAAGTTGTTCTAGGTGAGTTAGTGATTGAGTGGTGAGTGACTGTGAAGGCCTACAACATTACTGTACACTGCTGTAGACATTATAAACACTGTACACCTAGGCTACACTAAGTTAATTAAAATATGTTTTTAATAATTACAGCTTACTATAACTTTTTTACTTAATATTTTTAACTTTTATATTATTTTACTTTATATATTTTTTAACTTTATATTTTTAACTTTTGATGCTTGTAGTAACACACCTTGAAACACAAATACATTCTCCAGCTGTAAGAAATGTTGTTATATCTTTATTCTATAAGTATTTTTCTGTTTTTTACATTTTTATTTTCTCTTTTCAATATTCTTGTTAAAAATGAAAACACAAACACACGCATAATCCTAGACCTACACAGAATCAATATAATCAATATCACTGTCTTCCACCTCCACATCTTGTATCACTGGAAGGCCTTTGGGGCAATCATACACATGGAGCTGTATCTCTTATGATAACAATGCCTTCTTCAGGAATACCTCCTGAAGGCCCTGCCTGAATCTGCTTTAGAGTTAACTATTTTTAATAAGTAGAAGGAATAAAGGAATAAACTCTACCATAATGATACAAAGTAAAATACAGTATATATATAAGCCAGTAACATCATTGTTTATTATCATTATCAAATATTATATATAACTAATTGTATGTGCTATACAACTGGCAGTGTAGTGTTTCTTTACACCAACACCATCACAAACATTTGAGTAATGTGTTTCATTATGACATTATGACAGCTATGATATCACCAGATTATAAGAATTTTTCAGCTTCATTATAATCTTAGGGAACCACTGTCATATATGCAGTCCATTGTTGACTGAAACATTATTATGTAGCTGTTATGATTTGGTTCTGAGTCCCCACCCAAATCTCACCTGGAATTGTAATCCCCATGTGTTGAGGGAGGGACTTGGTGGGAGGTGATTGGATCATGGGGGCAGTTTCCCCCGTGCTGTTCTTGTGATAGTGAGGGTGTTCTCATGAGATCTGATGGTTTAAAAGTGGCAGTTTTGGCCAGGCACGGTGGTTCACGACTGTAATCCCAGCACTTTGGGAGGCCGAGGGGGGTGGATCATGAGGTCAAGAGATCAAGACCACTCTGGCCAACATGGTGAAACCCGTCTCTACTAAAAATACAAAAAATTAGCTGGGTGTGGTGGTGCACACCTGTAGTCCCAGCTACTCAGGAGGCTGAGGCAGGAGAATCACTTGAACCTAGGAGGCAGAGGTTGTGGTAAGCCGAGATCATCCCCATGCCACTGCACTCCAGCCTGGGTGACAGAGAGAGACTCCATCTCACAAAAAAAAAAAAAAAAAAAAAAGGTGGCAGTTTCCTCTGCGTTCTCTCTGTCTCTCCTGCCACCTTGTGAAGAAGGTGCTTGCTTCCCTTTCACCTTCCACTATGATTGTAAGTTTCCTGAGGCCTTCCCAGCCATGCAGAACTGTGAGTCAATTAAATCTCTTTTGTTTATGAATTACCCAGTCTCTGATAGTATGTTTATAGCAGTGTTAGAATGGACCAATGCAGATAATTTGTACTGGTAGTGGGGCATTGCTATAAAGATAACCTGAAAATGTGGGAGCGACTTTGGAACTTGGTAACAGGCAGAGCTTGGAACAGTTTGGAGGGCTCAGAAAAAGATAGGAAGATGAGGGAAGGTTTGGAACTTCCTAGAGACTTGTTGAATCATTTTGACCAAAATGCTGATAGTAATGTGAGCAACGAAGTCCAGGCTGAGGTAGTCCCAGATAGAGATGCGGAACTCATTGGGAACTAGAGCCAAATTCAAGCTTGCTGTGCTTTAGCAAAGAAACTAGCAGCATTTTGCTGTTGCCCTAGAAATCTGTGGAACTTTGAACTTGAGAGAGATGATTTAGGGTATCTGGCAGAAGAATTTTCTAAGTAGCAAAGCATTCAAGAGGTGATCTGGCTTTTCCTGAAAGCTTACAGTTGTATGTGTTCACAAAGAGATGATTTGAAATTGGAACTTATGTTTAAAAGGGAAGCAGAGCATAAAAGTTGGAAAATTTGCAGCCTGGCCATGTGATAGAAAAGAACCCCTTTTCTGGGGAGAAATTTAAGCCTGCTGCAGAAATTTGCAAAAGAATCAAGGAGCTCAATATTAATAGCTAAGACAATGAGGAAAATGACTCCTGGGCATGTCAGAGATATTTGTGGCAGCCCCTCTCATCACAGGCCTGGAGGCCTAGGAAGGACAAATTGTTCTGTAGACCAGGCCCAGGACCCTGCTGCACTGTGCAGCCTTGGGAGCCCAGACCTTGCATCAGCATGCCCTTGATGTAAGACATAAAGCCAAAAAATATTACTTTGGAGCTTTAAAATCTAATGACAGCCCAGCTGTGTTTTGGACATGCATGGGTCATGTGGCCCCTTTGTTTTGGACATGCATGGGGCATGTGGCCCCTTTGTTTTGGCCAATTTCTTCTATTTGGGATGGGAACATTTACTCAATTACTGCAGCCCCATTGTATCTTGGAAGTAAATAACTTGCTTTTGATTTTACAGGCTCTTAGGCAGAAGGGACTTGCCTTGTCTCATATGAGACTTTGAGCTTGGACTTTTGGGTTAATGCTAGAATGAGTTAAGACTTTGGGGGACTGTTGGGAAGGCATGACTGGTTTTGAAATGTGAAAAGGACATGAGATTTGGAAGGAGCCAGAGGCAGAATGATATTGTTTGGTTCAATGTCCCCATCCAAATCTCATCTGGAAATGTAATCCCTTTGTATCCATGGAGGGACCTAGTGGGAGGTGACTTGATCATGGGGACAGTTTCCCCCACACTGTTCTTATGATAGTGAGGGAGTTATCGGGAGATGATTTAAAAGTGGCAGTTTCCCCTGCATTCTCTCTCTCTCCTGCTGCCTTGTGAAGAAGGTGCCTGCTACCCCTTTGCCTTCCACTATGATTGTAAGATTCCTGAGGCCTCCCCAGCCATTTGGATCTATGAGTCGATTAAACCTCTTTTGTTTATGAATGACCAAGTTTCAGATAAAATCTTCATAGCAGTGTGAGAATGGACTAATACAGCAGAACATTACTATATTTAATATTCAGTTTTGGAAAAATAGAAGGAGAGGCAGAGCAAGATGGTGGAATGGAAAGTTCCACCAATTGTCCTCCCAAAAAAGGACACCAAGTTAACAACTATATACACCCAAAAAACACCTTCATAAGAACCAAAAATCAGGGAAGCACTCACAATACCTGCTTTTAACTTCATGTACATGAAAGAGGCACTGAAGGCATGGAAAACAAATAGCTGTGAATCTCAGATGCCACCCCTCCCCAACACCCAGCAGTGGTAGCATGGTGCAGAGAGCTTCTCTGGGTGCTGGGGGAGGGAGAACACGGCAATTATAAGGCATTGAACTCACTGTTGTTTTGTTAGAGTACAAAGGAAACCCAGACCAAACTCAGCTGATGCCCACCCACAGAGGGAGCATTTAAACCAGCCCTAGCCAGAGGGGAATCATCAGTCCCAGGGGTCTGAACTAGGGTCCACAAACATTGCCACAAAGAGCCAAAATGCTCTCAGTCTCTAAACTTGAAAGGCAGTCTAGGCCATAAGGACTGCAACTCATAGGTGAATTCTAGGGCAGAACTAGGATCAGAGAGAGTGGACTGTGAGGTATATGCCCTACTGAGACATCATCATCTGCTAAGTGAAGAGCCCTTCAGCCCTGAATAAGCCAGCAGTGATACTCGGGTACTACCTCTATGGTCTAGGTATGCCTCTGAGACTTCTTGACTTCAGGTATCAACATCAGCAGGGGAGGGAGGGTGAAACACCATGTGGATCCTTGGGGACCCTGATTTCAGGACTTGACTCTTAGATCACATTTCTGGACCTGCCCTAGGCCAGAGGGGAGCCCACTGCCCTGAAGGTTGAGTCACAGGCCAGGGAGCACTCACCACAAGCTGACATAAGAGACCTTGAGCCTTAAGAGAACATTGGTGCTATTCTGGCTGTATACCTTGTGGCCAGGGGTAGTGGTGGCTACAGAGTGAGGTTCCTCTGCCTTTGGAAAGGGGAGGGAAGAGTGGGAAGAGCTGCGTCTTGTGTTTTGAGTGCCAGTTCAGCCACAATACAGTAAAATACCAGGTAGGTTTCTAAAGAGTTTCGACAGTAGTCCCTGTCAACCAGACAGTACTCCTGGACCCACCTAGGGCCTGGGGGACCTCACTGCCTTGAAGGGAAAGACACAGTCTTGGCTGTCTTTCAAGTCAAGTCCTTGAAAGAACACAGGCAGTAGCCAGGGAGTAGTTACAGCAGGCCGTGTGTGAAACCCAGTGCTGTGCTGGCTTCAGGTCTGACCCAGTACATTTATAGTGATGGTGGCCACAAGGGTATTTGTGTCAGTCCACACCAAGCATTCAGTGGCTTAGAATAGAGAAAGAGACTGTATATTTGGGAGAAAGTAAGAAAATACAACAAGAGTCTCTGCCTGGTAATAGAATTCTCCTGGATCTAGTGCAAGACCATCAAGGCAGTACCTCTATGAGTCTTCAAGAACCACAGCATTACAGGGTTTAAGGGGCCCCACACCAAAGCAGATATAGCTTAGATCATAGCACTCAAGTGCTTTTAAATATCTGGAAAGCATTTCCAAGAAGGATGGCTACAAATAAGTCCAGTCAGTGAAAACAACAATAAATACCTAACCCTTCAATGCTCAGACACCAAAAAACACATACTAGGATCAATGCCATTCAGGAAAACATGACAACACCAAATGAATTAAATATGGCACTAGTGACTAAGTCCTGGAGAAAGACATGATATTTCAGACAGAGAATTCAAAATAGCTGTGTTGATGAAACTCAAAGAAATTCAAGATTACAAAGAGAATGAATTCAGAATTCTATCACATAAATTTAGCAGATATTAAAAGAATTAAAAAGAATCAGCATAAATTATGCAGCTGAAAATGCAATTGGCATACTGAAGAATGTCTGGGTTATTTAGTAGCAGAAAGAAGCAGAAAAATGAATAGTTAGCTTGAAGACAGACTATTTGAAAATACACAGTCAGAGGAGACTGATATTGTTTGGCTTTGTGTCCCCACCAAAATCTCATCTCAAATTGGAATTCTCAAGTGTTGAAGGAGGGGCCTGGTGGGAGGTGATTGGATATTGGGGGCGATTTTGCCATGCTGTTCCTATGATAGTGAATGCGTTTCATGAGATCTGATGGTTTTATAAGGGGCTGTCCCCCCTTTGCTTCCTACACATGCCCTCTCGCCTGCTGCCATGTAAGACGTGCCTGCCTCCCCCTCTGACATGATTGTTAAGTTTCTTGAGGTCTTCCCAGCCATGCAGAACTGTGAGTCAATTAAACCACTTTTCTTCATAAATTACACAATCTCAGGTAGTTCCTTGTAGCAGTGTAAAAATGGACTAATAAAGTAAATTTGTGCCACAGAGTGAGGTACTGCCATAAAGATACCCAAAAATGTGGATGTGACTTTGGAACTGGATAACAGGCAGAGGTTGGAACAGTTTGGAGGGCTCAGAAGAAGACAGGAAGATGTGGGAAAGTTTGGAACTTCCTAGAGACTTGTTGAGTGGTTTTGACCAAAATGCTGATAGTAATGTGAGCAATGAAGTCCAGGCTGAGGTGGTCTCAGATGTGGATGAAGAACTTATTGGGAACCGGTGTAAAGGTGACTCTTGTTATGCTTTAGCAAAGAGACTGGCAGCATTTTGCCCACGCCCTAGAGATCTGTGGAACTTTGAACTTGAGAGAGATGATCTGAAATCGGAACTTATGTTTAAAGGGGAAGCAGAGCATAATAGTTTGGAAAATTTGCAGGCTGGCGATGCAATAGGAAAACAAAAACAAAAAACAACAAAACAAAACAAAACAAAACCTACTTGCTAGGGAGAAATCCAAGCTGGCTGCAAAAATTTACATAACTAATGAGGAGCCAAACGTTAATCACCAAAACAATGGGGATGTCAGACAACTTTACAGCAGCCCTTCCCATGACAGAACCAGAGGCATATGAGGAAAAAATTGTTTCATGGACTGGGCACAGTGTCTTGCCGCTTTGGGTAGCCTGACAGCTTGGTGCCCTGCATTTAGTCCATGGTAAAAGGGGCCAATGTACAGCTCAGGCCATTGTTTTAGAGGGTGTAAGCCCCAAGCCTTGGTGGCTTTTCCGTGGTGTTAGACCTGCAGGTGCACAGAAGTCAAAAATAGAGATTTAGTAACCTCCACCTAGATTTCAGAGGATGTATGGAAACACCTGGATGTTCAGGCAGAGGGCTGCTGCAGGGAGAAAGCCCTCATGGAGAAACTCTGTCAGGGCAGTGCAAAGGGAAAATGTGGGGTTGGAGCCCTCACACAGAGTCCCCATTGGGGCACTGGATAGTGGATCTGTGAGAAGAGGGACACAGTCCTCCAGACAACAGAATGGTAGATCCACCAACAGGTTGCACCATGTACCTGGAAAAGCCACAGACACTCAACACCAGCTGTGAAAGCAGCCAGGACTAAGGGCTGTACCCTGCAAAGCCACAGGGGTGGAGCTGCTCAAGGATGTGGGAGCCCACCCTTTGCATCAATGTGCCCTGGATGTGAGACAGGGAGTCAAAGGAGATTATTTTTGAGCTTTAAGGTTTAATGACTGCCCTGCTGGATTTCAGACTTGCCTGGGGCCTGTAGCCCCTTTGTTCTGTCCAATTTCTTCCATTTGCAAGGGGAGCATTTATTCAATGCCTATACCTCTGTTGTATCTTGGAAGTACATAAACTGCTTTTGATTTTACAGGCTCCTAGATGGAAGGGACTTACCTTGACTCAGGTGAGACTTTAGACTTAGACTTTTCTGTTAACGCTGGAAAGAGTTAAGAATTGGGGTACTGTTGGGAAGGCACAATTGGTTTCAGACATGAGATTTGGGTGGAGCCTGGGCAGAATAATATGGTTTGGCTTTGTGTCCCCATCCAAATCTCATCTTGATTTGTAATTCCCAGGTGTTGACGGAGGGACCTGGTGGGAGGCGATTTGATTATGGGGTGGTTTTTTCCATGCTGTTCTTGTGACAGTGAGTGAGTTCCCACGAGATCTGATTGTTTTATAAGTGGCTCTTCCCCCTTTGCTTCTTAAACGTGTTCTCTGGCCTGCTGCAGTTTAAGAGGTGCCTGCTTCCCCTTTCACCATGAATGTAGGTTTTCTGAGGCCTCCTCAGCCATACAGAACTGTGATTGAATTAAACCTCTTTTATTCATAAATTACTCAGTCTTGAGCACTTCTTTACAGACATGGGAAAACAGACTAAAACAGAGACAAAATTCAAACAAACAAACAAACAAAAACAATTGTCCAGGCACGGTGGCTCACACATGTAATCCCAGCACTTTAGGAGGCTGAGGCGGGTGGATCATGAGGTCAGGAGATCGAGACCATCCTGGCTAACACGTGAAACCCTGTCTCTACTAAAAGTACAAAAAATTAGCTGGGCATGGTGGCAGGCACCTGTAGTCCTAGCTACTCAGGAGGCTGAGGCAGAAGAATGGCGTGAACCCGGGAGGTGGAGCTTGCAGTGAGCCAAGGTTGAGCCACCACACTCCAGCCTGGGTGACAGAGCAAGACTCCATCTAAAAACAAACAAACAAACAAACAAAAATTAAGCATGTACAAAAGATTTAGAAAATAAATTTAAAAGGGCAGATCTTAAAGTTATTCACCTTAAAGAAAAGGTAGAGATGGGGTAGAAATTTTAATCAAAAAGATAATTACAGAGAAATTCTCAAACCTGGAGAAAACTTTCCAATATCCAAGTATAAGAAGGTTACAGAACACCAAGCATATATAACACAAATAAGACTACCTCAAGACATTTAAAAAGAAGACTCCCAAAGGTCAAGTATGAAGAAAGTATCCTAAAACCAGCCAAAGAAACAAATAACATACAATGGAGCTCTGATATGTCTGGCAGCAGACTCCTCAGTGGAAATTTTACAGGCCAGGAGAGAGTGGCATGGCATATTTAAAGTGCTGACTGAAAAAACTTTTACCCTAGAATAGTATATCTGGTGAATATGTCCTTCAAACATAAAGAAGAAATAAAGACATTTTCACACAAACAAAAGCTAAAGATTTCCCTCAACACCAGACATGTCTACAAGAAATGCTGAAGGAAGTACTTCAGGAAAACAAACAAACAAACAAAAAGCGAGATTAATGAGCAATAAATAATCACCTAAAGGTACAAACCTTACTGGTAATAGTAAGTACATAAAAAAACACAGAATATTATAACACTGTAACTGTGTTGTGTAAACAACTTTTATTCTAAGTAGAAAGACCAAATGATTAACTAATCTAAAATAATAGCTACAACTTTTCAAGACATAATCAGTACAATAAGATATAAATAGAAACAATAAGAAGTTAAAAAGTTGGGGGATGAAGTTAAGGTGGGTTTAAATTCATTTTCAATTTGATTTATTTATGAAAATGGTGTGAAGCTGTTATCAGGTTAACATAATCTGATAAAGGTAATATTAACAAGTCTCATGGTAACCTCAAACCAAAAAACATACATGGATTCATAAAAAAACCAAGAATCTAAATTATATCACCAGAGAAAATAATCTTCACTAGAGGAAGAGAAGAAAGAATGAAAAAAAAAAAAAGAGAGAAGATCACAAAACAACCAGGAAACTAATAAGAAAATGGCAGGAGTAAGTCTTTACTTATCAATAATAACATTGAATGTAAATGGACTAAACTGTCCAATCAAAAGACATAGATTAAGTGAATGGATGAAAAAAATTGCCTATTGATCTTTTGCCTACAAGAAACACATTTCACTTATAAAGACACACATGGACTGAAAATAAAGGGATAGAAAAGAATATCCCATGCCAATGGAAACTAAAAAAGAGCAGGAGTTGCTATACTTATATCAGACAAAATAGAATTAAATACAGAAACTATAAGAAGAAAAAAAGCCACTACATAATGATAAAATGATCAATTTTAAAAAGGATACATAATAGCAACGTTAAATATATATGCATCCAAGATGGTAGCACCCAGATTTATAAAGGAAATATTATTAGAGCTTAAGAGAGATATGAGCCTCAACATAATAATAGCTAAAAACTTCAGCACCCAATGTTCAGCATTGGACAGATTTTCCAGACAGAATGTCAACAAAGAAACATTAGATTTAATCTGTACTATAAACTGAATGGATCTAATGCATATTTAGAAACAATTTCATCCAAGAGCTGCAGAACACACATTCTTTTTTTATCATATGGATTATTTTCAAGGATAGACTGTATGTTAGGTCACAAAATAAGTCTTCACGCATTGAAAATTTTAAACAATATGAAGGATCTTCTCTGAAAATAATGCATTAAAACTAGAATTTAATAACAAGAGGAATTTTGATAATTATACAAGCACATGGAAATTAAACAATATGCTTCTGAATGACCACTGAGTTAATGAGGAAATTTATAAGGAAACTAAAAAAGAAATTGACAAAAACAATAGTGGAAACACAACATACTAAAACCTCTGGGATACAGAAAAAGCAGTAGTCAGAGGAAAGTTTATAGCTTTAAGTGCCTACATAAAAAAGAGGAAAGACTTCACATAAACAATCTAAAGATGCATCTTGAAGAACTAGGAAAGAAAAGAAAACCAAATCCAAAATTATTAGAAAAAAATAATAAAGATGACCTTAGGAATAACATTGAAATGAAGAAAACAATTCAAAAGATCAATGAAACAACAAGATGGTTTTTTGGAAAGTTAAACACAATTGACAAATTTTTAGCCAGACTAAGAAAAATAGAGAAGATCCAAATAAATAAAATCAAAAATAAAACTAGATATTACAACTTATACTGCAGAAATTCAACAGATCATTAGTGGCTGCTATGGGACACTAAATGCCAATAAATTGGAAAATAAAGAAGAAATGGTCAAATTCCTAGACACATACAACCTACCAAGATTTAACCAGGAAGAAATTCAAAACCTGAGCCGACCAATAACAAGTAATATGATTGAAGCAAAGAGATGGATAAATTCCTGGAAAAATACAGCTCTCTTAGCTTAAATCAGGAAGAATTAGATACTCTGAACTGACCAATAACAAGCAGCGAGATTGAAATGGTAATTTAATAATTACCAACAAAAAAAAGTACAGGACCAGATGGATTCACAGCAGAATTTTACCAGACATTCAAAGAAGAATCAGTACCAGTCATTTTGACACTATTTCACAAGATAGAGAAAGAGGGAACTCTCCCTAATTCATTTGATGAAGCCAGCATTACTCTAATATCAAAAGCAGGAAAGGACTTAACCAAAAAAGAAAACTACAGACCAATATCCCTCATGTACATAGATGCTAAAATCCTTAACAAAATAGTAGCTAACTGAATGCAACAAAATATCGAAAAAAAATCCACCATGATTAAATGGGTTTCATACCAGGGATGCAGGGATGGTTTAACATCTGCAATTCAATAAATGTGATAAACCACATAAAAAGAATTAAAAACAAAAATCACATGATCATCTCAATAGATACAGAGAAAGCATTCAACAAAATACAGCATCCCTTTATGATTCAAACTCTCAGTAAAATTGGCATACAAGGGACATACCTCAATGTAATAAAACCTGTCTATGATAAACCCACAGCCAAAATAATACTGAATGGGGAAAAGTTGAAAGCATCCTTCTGAGAACCGGAAAAAGACAAGGATGCCTACTCTCATCACTCCTCTTCAACATAGTACTGGAAGTCCCAGCCAGAGCAATCAGACAAGAGAAAGAAATAAAATGCATCCAAATCAGTGAAGAGGAAGTCAAACTGTCACTCTTTACTGACGATATAACCATTTACCTCAACTCTAAAACCCTAAAGACTCCTCCAAAAAGCTCCTAGAAATCATAAAATAATTCAACAAAGTTTCCAGATACAAGATTAATGTACACAAATCAGTACCTCTTCTATACACTAACAGTGACCAAGCAGAGAATCAAATCAATAACTCAACCCCTTTTACAATAGCTGCAAAAAAAAATTAAACTTAGGAATATACCTAACCAAAAGACCTCTATGAAGAAAACTACAAAACACTGCTGAAAGAAATCATAGATGACACAAACAAATAAAAACATCCCATGCTCACAGATGGGTAGAATAAATATTGCAAAAATGACCATACTGCCAAAAGCAATCTACAAATTCAACACAATCCCCATGAAAATACTACCATCATTCTTTACAGAATTAGAGAAAACAATTCGAAAGTTCATAGGGAACCAAAGAAGAGCCTGCATAGCCAAAGCAAGGCTAAGCATAGATAGATAGACAGATAGATAAATAGATAGGTAGATAGATAGATAGATAGATAGAAATAGAAATCTTGTGTCATCACACTACCTGATTTCAAACTATACTATAAGGCCATAGTCACCAAAACAGCATGGTACTGGTATAAAAATAGACACATAGACCAATGGAACAGAAGAGAGAACCCAGAAATAAATCAAAATATTTACAGCCAACTGATCTTCCACAAAGCAAACAAAAACATAAAGTGGGGAAGGGACACCCT
Source organism: Homo sapiens (assembly GCF_000001405.40). Lineage (NCBI taxonomy): Eukaryota > Metazoa > Chordata > Mammalia > Primates > Hominidae > Homo > Homo sapiens. The sequence continues at coordinate 87,551,814 of NC_000023.11, forward strand.
TTTCAACAAATGTTGCTGGGATAATTGGCTAGCCACATGTTGGAGAATGAAACTGAATCCTCATCTCTCATATTCTACAAAAATCAACTCAAGAGGGATTAAGGACTTAAATCTAAGACTTGAAACTAAAAATTCTAGAAGTTAACATAGGAAGAACTCTTCTAGACATTGGCTTAGGCATGGATTTCATGATCAAGAACTCAAAAGCAAATGCAATAAAAACAAATAGCTTGGGACTTATTTAATCTAAAGAGCTTTTGCATGGCAAAAAAACAGTCACCTGAGTAAACAGACAATCCACAGAGTTGGAGAAAATCTTCACAATCTGTACATCTGGCAAAGGACTAATATCCAGAATCTACAACAAGCTCAAACAAATCAGTAAGAAAAAAACAATCCCATCAAAAAGTGGGCTAAGGACATGAATAGAGAATTCTCAAAAGAAGATACACAAATGGCCAACAAACATATAAAAAATGATCAACACCACTAATGATCAGGGAAATGCAAATCAAAACCACAATGCAATACCCCCTTACTCCTGCAAGAAAGGCCATAATCAAAAAATAAAAATAAAAATAAAAACAGCAGATGTTGGCATTGATGTGGTGATCAGGGGACATTTCTACACTGCTGGTGGGAATGTAAACTAGTACAGCCACTGTGGAAAACAGTGTGGAGATTCCTTAAAGAACTAAAAGAAGAACTACAATTTGATCTAGCAATCCCACTACTTGGTATCTACCCAGAGGAAAAGACGTTGTTATTCAAAAAAGATACTTGCACATGCATGTTTATAGCAGCACTGTTTGCAATTGCAAAATTATGGAATGAACCCAAATGCCCATCAATCAACGAGTGGATAAAGAAACTGTTAAATTATATATATATATATATATAACATGGCATTTTCTCACTTATTAGTAGGAGGTAAAAATTAAATCAATGGAACTCATGGACATAGAGAGTAGAAGGATGTTACCAGAGGCTGGGAAGGATAGTGAGGGATCCAGGGGAGGTACAGATGGTTAGTGGGTACAAAAAAATGGAAAGAATAAATAAGAATTACTATCTGATAGCATAATAGGGTGACTATAGCTAATAATAACTTAATTGTATATTTTAAAATAACTTTAAGAATGTATTTGGAATATTTGCAACTCAAAGGATAAATGCTTGAGGGGATGGACACCCCATTCTCTGTGATGTGCTTATTTCACATTGCATGCCTGTAACAAAACTTCTCATGTACACACTAAATATGTGCACCTACTGTGTATCCACAATAATTAAAAATAAATAAAGTAATATTAAAAAATGATAATATTCAGTTTGGGCTTTGATAATGTGGTTAGCTCTGGCGGTTTGTAGTATATTTGACAGTGTTTGTGGAGGACAGACTTGAAACAAAAAGTAGAAATCAATACATTTACATTCTTAAGTTTTACCAAGTGCAAATAAAGAAATAAGAATACAATTATCATACTTTGACTCAATGTAATTCAAATGTTATCAATCAATAATTAGTTAATGAAACATTTACTAAAAGTTTTATATTAAATATTTCATTTTATTTAAAAATATATTAATTTATATTTATACCATTGCCTGATCAAAGTAGTTGTGAACTTTGCAATTTGAACACAATATGATTATTCCCAAATACAAACATCAGACAAATACCAATTTTTGCATTCTAGGTACTGGATGTCTTCATGTACAGGTAAACCTCAATATGAGAATATCTTAATTCTAATATCACTTTCTCATTAACAGTGGTCTCTACAGCGGTTAAAAAGTTCTTAAATGGATACACAGACACATACACACACACATGTCACATTTGTGGCTAATTTTCCTGAAGATATAATGTTTTATATAGCTTTTATATTGGACTCATTTAAAAATAATTGTAACTTCATTGAAATAATACAAAGTTGTCAAATGACAACTTTTGTTTTTAAAACCTAAATAGCTTCACATGCCTATGTCCTGAATGGTAATGCCTAGGTTTTCTTCTAGGGTTTTTATGGTTTTAGGTCTAACGTTTAAGTCTTTAATCCATCTTGAATTAATTTTGTATAAGGTGTAAGGAAGGGATCCAGTTTCAGCTTTCTACATATGGCTAGCCAGTTTTCCCAGCACCATTTTTAAATAGGGAATCCTTTCCCCATTGCTTGTTTTTGTCAGGTTTGTCAAAGATCAGATAATTGTAGATATGCGGCATTATTTCTGAGGGCTCTGTTCTGTTCCATTGATCTATATCTCTGTTTTGGTACCAGTACCATGCTGTTTTGGTTACTGTAGCCTTGTAGTATAGTTTGAAGTCAGGTAGTGTGATGCCTCCAGCTTTGTTCTTTTGGCTTAGGATTGACTTGGTGATGCGGGCTCTTTTTTGGTTCCCTATGAACTTTAAAGTAGTTTTTTCCAATTCTGTGAAGAAAGTCATTGGTAGCTTGATGGTGATGGCATTGAATCTATAAATTACCTTGGGCAGTATGGCCATTTTCACGATATTGATTCTTCCTACTCATGAGCATGGAATGTTCTTCCATTTGTTTGTATCCTCTTTTATTTCCTTGAGCAGTGGTTTGTAGTTCTCCTTGAAGAGGTCCTTCACGTCCCTTGTAAGTTGGATTCCTAGGTATTTTATTCTCTTTGAAGCAATTGTGAATGGGAGTTCACTCATGATTTGGCTCTCTGTTTGTCTGTTATTGGTGTATAAGAATGCTTGTGATTTTTGCACATTGATTTTGTATCCTGAGACTTTGCTGAAGTTGCTTATCAGCTTAAAGAGATTTTGGCTGAGACAATGGGGTTTTCTAGATATACAATCATGTCATCTGCAAACAGGGACAATTTGACTTCCTCTTTTCCTAATTGAATGCCCTTTATTTCCTTCTCCTTCCTAATTGCCCTGGCCAGAACTTCCAACACTATGTTGAATAGGAGTGGTGAGAGAGGGCATCCCTGTCTTGTGCCAGTTTTCAAATGGAATGCTTCCAGTTTTTGCCCATTCAGTATGATATTGGCTGTGGGTTTGTCATAGATAGCTCTTATTATTTTGAGATACGTCCCATCAATACCTAATTTATTGAGAGTTTTTAGCATGAAGTGTTGTTGAATTTTGTCAAAGGCCTTTTCTGCATCTATTGAGATAAGCATGTGGTTTTTGTCTTTGGTTCTGTTTATATGCTGGATTACATTTATTGATTTGTGTATATTGAACCAGCCTTGCATCCCAGGGATGAAGCCCCCTTGATAATGGTGGATAAGCTTTTTGATGTGCTGCTGGATTCGGTTTGCCAGTATTTTATTGAGGATTTTTGCATCAATGTTCATCAAGGATATTGGTCTAAAATTCTCTTTTTTGGTTGTGTCTCTGCCCAGCTTTGGTATCAGGATGATGCTGGCCTCATAAAATGAGTTAGGGAGGATTCCCTCTTTTTCTATTGATTGGAATAGTTTCAGAAGGAATGGTGCCAGTTCCTCCTTGTACCTCTGGTAGAATTCGGCTTTGAATCCATCTGGTCCTGGACTCTTTTTGGTTGGTAAGCTATTGATTATTGCCACAATTTCAGAGCTTGTTATTGGTCTATTCAGAGAGTCAACTTCTTCCTGTTTTAGTCTTGGGAAGGTGTTCGTGTCGAGGAATTTATCCATTTCTTCTAGATTTTGTAGTTTATTTGCATAGAGGTGTTTGTAGTATTCTCTGATGGTAGTTTGTATTTCTGTGGGATCGGTGGTGATATCCCCTTTATCATTTTTTATTGCGTCTATTTGATTCTTCTCTCTTTTCTTCTTTATTAGTCTTGCTAGTGGTCTATCAATTTTGTTGATCCTTTCAAAAAACCAGCTCCTGGATTCATTAATTTTTTGAAGGGTTTTTTGTGTCTCTATTTCCTTCAGTTCTGCTCTGATTTTAGTTATTTCTTGCCTTCTGCTAGCTTTTGAATGTGTTTGCTCTTGCTTTTCTAGTTCTTTTAATTGTGATGTTAGTGTGTCAATTTTGGATCTTTCCTGCTTTCTCTTGTGGGCATTTAGTGCTATAAATTTCCCTTTACACACTGCTTTGAATGTGTCCCAGAGATTCTGGTATGTTGTGTCTTTGTTCTCGTTGGTTTCAAAGAACATCTTTATTTCTGCCTTCATTTCATTATGTACCCAGTAATCATTCAGGAGCAGGTTGTTCAGTTTCCATGAAGTTGAGCAGTTTTGAGTGAGTTTCTTAATCCTGAGTTCTAGTTTGATTGCACTGTAGTCTGAGAGACAGTTTGTTATAATTTCTGATCTTTTACATTTGCTGAGGAGAGCTTTACTTCCAACTATATGGTCAATTTTGGAATAGGTGTGGTGTGGTGTGGTGCCAAAGGACTATAAATCATGCTGCTATAAAGACACATGCACACGTATATTTATTGCAGCACTATTCACAATAGCAAAGACTTGGAACCAACCCAAATGTCCAAGAATGATAGACTGGATTAAGAAAATGTGGCACATATACACCATGGAATACTACGCAGCCATAAAAAATGATGAGTTCATGTCCTTTGTAGGGACATGGATGAAATTGGAAATCATCATTCTCAGTAAACTATCACAAGAACAAAAAACCAAACACTGCGCATATTCTCACTCATAGGTGGGAATTGAACAATGAGAACACATGGACACAGGAAGGGGAACATCACACTCTGGGGACTGTTGTGGGGTGGGGGAAGGGGGGAGGGATAGCTTTAGGAGATATACCTAATGCTAAATGATGAGTGAATGGGTGCAGCACACCAGCATGGCACATGTATACATATGTAACTAACCTGCACATTGTGCACATGTACCCTAAAACTTAAAGTATAATAATAAAAACAAAACAAAACAAAACAAAACAAAACAAAACAAAACAGCTTCACATTGGACCTCTTTGAGAACCATTCTGAGATTCTGAGAAAGTGCTACCATGTGCCATATCACATGGCAGAGTAAGTTTTCTCTTTTCCTAGTCAGTCTTCTTTATATATGCAACTGTATTTGATCATGCAGGATTTTTTTGATAATGGAGGGGCACTAATAGAAGCCAGGTATTCAAAAAGGAAGGGGAAAGCCTGATGCGCTTTATTGTGACTGACAGTTAGTTTCACTGAATATCTTCCAGGCAATCCAGCAAATATAACACTTTGAACAGATGAGCAGAGAATCCATAAGGACAGCCTAGATACTGACAAAGTAGAAATAACCGTGAGAAAATAAACTTGGTCTACAAAACATGTAAAATTATATGCCATCATAAAAATATACTTGGTTGATTTTTAGAATAAACTGTGACTGAAAAGCAGCAATTCAAATTTGTTAATATTAGTTTTTTCAATCAAGATCTATGATTGATTTAGATATCACTGAAAAGTCAGGCCTGAGCTTATTATTCTTTTATAACTGAGATTGTGTACCCAGTGAATAGAAATTGTTTTGCTGCTATGGTAAATACAAGACAGTTTTCTTCTTGTCTTTTGATTTTCCTTATTCTGCTGGCTCCAGATGTAGAGAACAATTGGCAACTTTTATGGATAGCAGCAATGTGTGACTTTGTAGTTTATGGTTAGTTCTCTTTAGAAGAATCATTATTTTCTATGTCAGTTTGTAATCAATCTGCTCAAAATACCAGACATCATTTCTTTTATGAAATGAATGGGAATGAAACAGTACTCTGATGCGATGTCTTATATGCTAAAAGAACAAATCAATTACTTGACATTAACAATGTAATTAATCTTTAAGTCATGCTTACCAACCTAAAATGTTTATTATTTTTTTTGCTTCAATCTTCTGTTTTATTTATATTCACATTTCCAAAAGCACCAGTTTTAAAAATAAATTAATGGGAATATTCAGTCTTTTAAAATGTGATAGATACGGTTTTAAAAGTTATTTTAAAATGTGATAGATACGGTTTTAAAAGTTATTTTGAAAATATTTGTTGGGTACATGGATATAAATTTGAATTAGGAAGGGATCACAGTCCTCTTTCTTTATCCCAATAGACACTTTGTGCCGTAAGGGATCATGCCCTTCCATTCTCCTGGCTCTGGGCATGTGGAGCCATCCCTTCTATTGGTCATTAAGAATTGTCTCAAGGACTCAAATTGCAACTTGAAACTACAGGGCCTCTAAAAGCCTAGGAAATCCACAGATGCCTTGGAAATTCCCCATCTTGTCTAAGAAATTGCTTAAAGATCATGGGCCACTTTGGGCCTTACTGTTTCTCAGTTTTCTACATAAAAGCTATTTATGGCCCCATGTCTACCCCAAGTAAAATGTGTTTTTGTTCTAGGGCATTTTGCGATCACACCCTATCTAAAAAGGCACAATAAGTTGCATTCTAGAATCAGAATATATGAGTTCAAATGCCAGTTCTGCCATTTATTTGCTGTTGTGACTGGAGTGATCTGTTTAACCTCTTTAAGCCTCAGTTTCTCTCATTTGTAAAATGAGGACGGTACATGTACCTATGTTATATGACTGTGTGGAAGAATAACTGAGGGAATAAATGCAAAGTTTTTGGAAAAGTGGCTCACATATATGTGTTCAATAAATATTAACATTATTTCATATTTTTGAATAATTTTTATCACACCTCAATCATCTTATATGGTAATGTATTATTACGTGTATATTTAAGCATAGTTGCTTAGAGGTGATTAAAACTACCTCTTAAGTTGCAGTGAGCCGAGTTCGGCCACTGTACTCCAGTCTGGGCAACAGAGCGAGACTCCATCTCAAAAAACAAACAAAACAAACAAACAAACTGCCTTCTAATTACTTAGTCATTGTTTATTGACTCAGTTAGCTATTTCATAAGAGCTATAAATTGTTTTTTCTATCCTTTCATTTAATTTCTCATTTGCAGAGATTTCCACATATCTCCATAATCCAGTCAATTAGAAACATCCTTCCTTCATTTCCTAAAGTGGATTTCTGGAATAGTAATGTTTAGAAACTAACATTTTCTAGTAATCCAAGGAGTGGATAGAGAAATTTGAGAATCCATTTGATACATCATTGTCTTATTTGGATTGTGGTAAAAACAAACTAAGAAAATATTTTAAAATAGGGTAATAAAAACTTTAAAGTCTTTGTTGGATATTATAGAAGCACACTGTGAAGCATGATTGCAATGCATGTTGTGGGACAGTAGTAGGTAAACATCTCTAAAGGGACAAAGAGTATATATTTCAGGATTTACAAGCGATAAGGTCTCTGTTACAAGCACTCAACTTTGATTTTTGCTTGAAAGCAGCCATAGATAACACATACATGAATAAGTGTGACAGGGTCGCAATAAAACCACATTTATGGACATTGAATTTTGAGTTGTATAATTGTTTATTTACCTCTTTTTATTTTAACCATATAAAAATGTGAAGTCCATTATTAGCTCACAAACCCTACACAATGGATGAGTGACTGGATTTGGCCCACTAGCCATAGTTTGTCAATGCCTGTTCTGGAAGCATTTTGTGAGACTTGAAGGCAATGTTTTCTACAACAGAAAACCATGAAAATCCTGTTACGTTGACAGCCTTAGTTGTGATTCTTTGAGCTTTGTATCTTCCCATCGGCTCAATCTTGCTCACTTTACAGCAGTGTTTTGATTTGACACTCTGGATTCAATTTTATATATCAAGATGCTTCCACTATTGTTAAAGAAGGTAAAATAATTCTGACTGCAAGATTTTTGCACTTATACAACACAGTAAATAAAAACCAAGAAAGTGTATTGCTGCAAATTCTTCTCATATTTAGAGAACCAAACACACTTAAAAGTAAAAATTCCCCGAAACAACTACTCTATTGATGAATTCAATAAACATTTAGAATGCATAATACATGCAAGACACCTTGACACAGAAAAAGGTGTATAAAACAACTGCTTTTAAGTTGCTTACACTCTAGTATATAACATAAAATTTGTATACTAATAACTATAATCTAAGATGGAACATAATAAGTGCTACAGCGGTAATATATCCAATAAGCCATAGATGATGGTAGATTTTGTATACAGTAGTATAATAATACTATATCCAATAAGCCATAATGTATTCTGTAAATTATAAAAAACAATTTCTTACAAAAACTGTACCCTTAATCTCAATATGTAGACTACTGATGAATATTGTGTTTATATGTGTGAGACATATTTTCCTTTGGGCAATAATTAAGTAACTAGTAATTTCGTACGTAGCTAGTTGTTCCTCTGTATATATAGGAGAAGTATTTATGTTAAGATCAGGTCCAAATATCTAAAGGGAGTTTTGCCAACCAGCATTTGGTTTTAAACCCTGTGACAATAATGCTTCTATCTTTCCTTAAGACTTCTTGTTGTATCTTTTAAGTAGGCGGAGTGTAATTAAAGGAGTACTAGAAAAATACCTCATGCTTCAAATATTCTACCCTTATCCGTGTAGCTATTTTCCACATTTATTTTTGGAGATTACTTCCTCTTTTGCAAGGCAATAATTGTTCTTTGTTAAGACACAAATAGCTGTAGCCTCTCTGCTACTGCTTTCAATAAGAATGTTTTCATTTGCAGGCTGCTGATATAATTTTTCATATGTTGTCAGTTGATTGTTTTGTATAATGGCAAGAACACTTAATATGAGATCTACCCTTTTAAGAAATTTTTAAGTGCACAGTATAGCCTTTTGTCAACTTTAGGCACGATGTTGTATAGCAGATCTCCGTAACTTATTATTCATATATAACTGAGATTTTATACCCAATTAATAGCAATTCTCCATTGTCCCCACTCCCACTTCCTGGCAACCAGCAATCTACTCCCCGTTTCTATGAGTTTATTTTAGACACCTTATATAAGTGGAATCATGTAGCATATCTTGCTGTGACTGGCTAATTTCACTTAACATAATGCACTCTAGGTTTATTCATGCTTTTGTCACATACAACAGGATATATTTCATTTTTAATTCTTAACAATATTTTTATATGTGTAAACTACAGTTTCTTTATTCAATTGTAGGTGATTATTTAGATTGTTTCCATATTTGTAAATAGTGCTACAATAAACATGTAAGTGCTGATATTCCTTTAAAAGCCTGATTTCACTAGATATCCACATGCAGAAGAATGAAACTAGCCCACTGTCTATCACCATATATAAAAATAAAATCAAAATGGATTAAAGACCAAAACATAAAACCTGAAATTATGAAACTGCTAGAAAAAAACATAGGGAAACTGATTCAGGACATTGGTGTTGGCAAAAATGAATAAGACCTTGGAGCTAGATGGCCGAAGAGAACCTCCAATGATGGTCTCGCCTCCCCTGCAGGAACACCAAGTTAAACAACTCTTCACACAAGAAAGCACCCTAATATGAACCAAAACCAGGTGAGTTACGACAGCACCTGGTTTGAACTTCATATCAAGAAAGGAGCCACTGAAGAGGGTAGGAGAGACAGTCTTAAATTGCCTACACTACCCGCCCCCATTGCCCACGGTGCCACATTGGGGCAGGGATAATCTATGTGCTTGAGGGAGGGGAAAGCAAAGTGATTGTAGGACTTCACATTGGAACGCAGTGCCGACCTGTCACAGCAAAAATCAACACAAGGCAGAATTTATACTGGGTCCATAGAGGGAGCACTTAAACAAGTGATTAGACTGGAACTTGAGTTATGGCTAGCCCCAGCATTGCAGGCTAAAGTGTTATGGGATCCTAAAATTTGAAAAGCAGTCTAGGTCACAAAGACTGTAGTTCCTGGGTAAGTCCTGGTGCTGTTCTGGGCTCAAAGTCAGTGGACTTGGGGTGGATGCAACCCAGTGAGATCTGGAGCAGCCTAAGGAGTGCTTGTGTCACTGTCACCCCTCCTGCAACTTCAGGCCGTGCTGCTTGCAGCTGTGGGAGAGACTCCTTATGCTTGAGGTAGGGAAAGAGAAAAGTAGAGAACTTTATCTTGCAATCTGGAGACCAGTTGAGCTACAGTAAAATAAATCACCAAGCAGAGCCCTAAAGACCCCATCCAGGCCCCACCTCCCAGACAGCATTTCTAGATCCACTCTGGGCATCACGGAAACCTGCTACTCCAAGGGGAAGGACCCAGTCCTGGCAGGATTTATCACTTGCTGACTAAAGAACCCTTCAGCCATGAATAAACATCAATGATAGCTAGGTAGTAATCACCATAGGACTTGGATGAGACCTAATGCCATATTGGCTTCATTTGTGACCCAGCACATTCTCAGCTGTGGTGGTCCTTGGAAGAGACTTCTGCTTGAGGAAAGGAGAGGGAAGAAAAAAGGGACTTTTGCTTTCACCTTGAGTACCAGCTCAGTCACAGTGTGACCCAGCACATTCCCAGCTGTAGTAGCCATTGGGAGAGATTTCTTCTTGAGAAAAAGAGAGGGAAGAGTAAAAAGGACTTTGGCTTTTCACTTGGGTACCAGCTCAGTACAGTAAAATCAACAAGCAAACTCTTAAGATCCCCAATTCCAGGCCTTAGCTCCTTGATGGCATTTATAGACCAAATGTGGGCCAGAAGGGAACTTGCTGCCCTCAAAGGAGAGATCTAGGCCTGGCAGGAGTCACTACCTGCTGACTAAAAAGCCCTTGGGCCTTGAATAAACACCAGTGGCTGCCAGGTAGTAGTATCCATGGCACTGGGACAGTAGCGATCATGGGGTGAGACTCCTACTTGAGGAAAGGATAGGGAAGAGTAAAAAAAAAAAATTGTCTTTCAAATTGGGTACCAGTTAAGCCACAGTAAAACAAAGTACACAGTATATTCCTAAAGTTCCTGATTCCATGCCCCAGCTCCCACGTGCCATCTCTAGACACACCCTGGGATAGAAGGGACTCTACTGCCTTGAAGGGAAAGACATATGCCTGGCAATAGTCACCACCTGCTGGCTAGAGAGCCCTTGGGCCTTGAATAAACATTAGCAGTAGACAGGCACTAGTTATCACCATCCTTGGGTGAAAACAAATAGTGTGCTGGCTTTAGTTGTGAACCAACATAGTCCCAGTGGTGAATGCCATGGGAGTGCCTGTATCACACCCTCCTCAATTCCAGGCAGCTCAACACAGAGAAAGAGGCTTAATTTGCTTGGGAAAAAGTAAGGAAAGAGAACAAGTGACTTTGCCTAGTAATCCAGGCAATCTCCCTGATTTTAACCAAGACCACCAAGTTGGTACCTCTGTGAGTCTGCGAGTCACAGTTACTGAGCATGGGATATTCCTAATACAGATATGGCTGCAGTGATCAAAGTCTTAGATTACAATGCTCAATTCCCTTTGAATAACTGAAAAAATTCTTCTCAAGAAGGACAAGAGCACATAAGCCCAAACTGTGAAGATCAGAATAAATACTTAACTTTTCAATGCCCAGACATTGAAAAACATTTAAAAGAAGGATCAAGACCATCCAGGAACACAGGACCTCATCAAAAATAAAAACAAAATCTAAATAAGACAACAATGATCAATCCAGGGGTGAAAGAGATGTGTGACCTTTCGGAGAGATAGTTCAAAATAACTGTTTGAAATGGTCAATGAAATTCAAGATAACACAGAGAAGAAATACAGAATGCTACCAGATAAATTTAACAAAGAAAGTGAAATAATTAAAAAATCAAGCAGAAATTCCAGAGCTGAAAAATTCAATTGATAAACTGAAGAATGCATCAGAGTCTCTCAACAGTAGAATTGATCAAGCAGAAGAAAGAATGAGTGAGCTTGAAAACAGGCTATTTGAAAATACACAGTCCAAAGGAGACAAAAAAAAAAAAAAGGAATGAAGCACACCTACAAGGGCAAATGTAAGTTATTGGCCTCAAAAAGGAGGCAAAGAGATAAGGGTAGAAAGTTTATTCAAAGAGATAATAGTAGATAACTTTCCAAACCAGAGAAAGATACTAGTATTCAAGTACAAGGAGGTTATAGAACACCAAGCAGATCTAACTGAAGACATTTAAGAATCAAACTCCCAAAGGTCATGGATAATGAAAGGATGCTCAAAGCAACAAGGAAAAAGATACAAATAACACATGAAGGATTCTTAATATGTCTGGCAGCTGACTTTCCTAGACAAACAAAAGCTTAGACAGACTTTCTTAGACAAACAAAAGCTGAAGGAGTTCATCAACATCAGACCTGCCCTGAAAGATCTGATGTTGATGAACTCCTCCTGCTAAAAGGACAGAACTCCTCCTGCTAAAAGTTCTGCAGTACAAAAGAAAAAGACATTCATGAGCAACACATATTCATCCTGGGGTACAAAAGTCACTGGTAATAGTAAGTACACCGACAAATACAGAATAGTATAACACTGTAATTGTGGTGTGTAAACTACTCATCTTGAGTATGAAGATGAAAAGGCAAACCTATCAATAATAACTGCAACAACATTTTAAGATATATGTATTATGATAATATGTAAATAGAAATGAAACAAGTTAAAAAGTGTGGAGCTTTTATTAGTTTTTTGCTTGCTTATTTTTTAGTTTCTTTACTTTTCAATTAGAGTTAAATTACCATCAGTTTAAAATAATAGGATATAAGATGTTATTTGCACCTAATGGTAACTTCAGGAAAAAAAAAATAAACCTAAAGATTCACTTTTAGATCAAGACACAAACAGGTTGAAAGTGAAATAATGTAAAAATATATTTAATGAAAATAGTAGCAGAAAGAGAGCTGGTGTAGTTATATTAATATCAGACAAAATAGACCTTAAAAGTAAAAATGGATTTAAGAGGCAAAGAAAGATAGTAAATATTGATAAAGGACTAAACCATCAAAAAGCATACATAGCTAACAACACAGCAACAAATCATATGAAGAAAAAACCGATAAAATTGCAGGGAGGGATAGACAGTTCAAGAATAATAGTTGGAGACTTCAATATCAGCTTTCAATAATAGAACAATTATACAGAAGAAATGTAAAGAAATAAAGAACTTGAACAGCACTATAATCTGACAAGACCAAATGGACATACATAGAAGTCTCCATCCAACAACAGGAGATTACACATTCTTCTGAAGTGCACATGGAATATTCTCCAGGGAAAACGATGTATTAGGCCAATAAAGAAGGTCTAAATAAATTTTAAAAGTATGTAAATACAAAAAATTTCTTCTCTGACCACATCAGAATGAAAGTAGACATCAAGAAAAGAAAGAAAAGTGAAAAATTCACAAATATTTAGAAATTAAAGAATACACGTTTGAACAAGGAATGGGTGAACAAAGAAACCACAAGGAAAATTAGAAAATATTTCCAGCTGAATGTAAAAACCACACATAATAAACTTATGGGGTGCAGTGAAAGCAGTGATTAGATACGATTTTATATCCATAAACACCTACGTGAAAAAGAATAAAATTTTACATTATAACCTATTTTTATAGCTTAAGGTAATGGAAAAATAAGAGCAAAAAGAGCACAAATTGTGCAGAAAAAGACAGTGGAGATTAAAATAGAGAATAGAAAAATAATAGACTCAATTGAACTAAAATTTACTTCTTTAAAAGACCTAGTAAAATTGACAAACCTTTAGCTAGCCTGACCAAGTTAATATGAGAGGCCTTACCAAAATCAGAAATGAATTAAGAGGTCGCGTGTGGTGGCTCATGCCTGTAATCCCAGCACTTTGGGAGGCTGAGGCAGGTGGATCACTTGAGGCCAAGAATTTGAGACCAGCCTGGCCAACATGGTGAAACGCTGTCTCTTAAAAATACAAAAGGTATCTGGGCTTGGTGGCACATGCCTGTAAACCCAGCTACTCTGGAGGCTGAGGCACAAAAATTGTTTGAACCCTGGAGGTGGAGGTTGCAGTGAGCCGTGATTGTGCCAAAAAAAAAAAAAAAAAAAAAAAAAAAAGGAAATGAATTAGGGGACACTACTGCTGATCTTACAGATACAAAAATAATTATAAGAGTTGATTATAAACAATTGTTTCCCAACATTTTAGGTATCCTAGATGAGATGGACAAATTTGTAAATGCACACAAAATAACACACTGCCTCTAGAAAAAATAGAAAATCTGAAAAGGCATATGACAATTAAAGATGAGTTATTAATCAAAAAACTCCCAACTGAGGGGAACAACACACACCAGGGCCTGTTGAGGGGTGGGGGGCGAGAGGAGAGAACTTAGAGGACAGGTCAATAGGTGTAGCAATCCACCATGGCGCACGTATACCTATGTAACAAACCTGCACGTTCTGCACATGTATCCCAGAACTTAAAGTAAAATAAAATAAACCCCCTCAACAATAAAAGCCAGGACCATTTTGCTTCACTGGTAAATTCTACCAAACATTTAAAAATAATAAACCTCAATCCTTCTGAAACTCTTCCAAAAAATGGAAGAGCAGGGAAGACTTCGCAGCTAGTTCCATAAAGCCAGCATTATTATGTTAACAGACAAACAAAGATTTCACAATAAAACATAAAAATCATCCCTCATGAAAATAGATACAAAAAATCATTGAAAAAAAATACAATTGTTCCTAAAAACAAATGGAGTTATGTCATGAAAAGTCCATCATAAGTTGAAAATACCGTAAGTTGAAAATGCAAATAATACACCTACTGAAAATCATAGCTTAGCCTAATCCACCTTAAATGTGCTCAGAACATTTACATTAGCCTAAAATTGGGCAAAATCATCTAACATTAAGCCTATTTCATAGTAAAGTGAAGAATATCTCATAATTTATTGAATACTCTACTGAAAGTGAAAAATAAAATTGTTTTATGGATACTTGAAGTACAGTTGCTACTGAATATGTATCACTGTTGTACCATCATAAAGTTGAAAAATCATAAGTCAAACTCTTTTAAGTGAGAACGTCTGTACTAGCAAACCGAATCTAGCGTCATAGTAAAAGGATTTTACACAGCCACCAAGTGGGATTTATTCTGGTAAAGTTGGGTCAACATTCAAAAATTAATCAATGAAATAAGTCATATTAATATAATGAAAAAAGATCATTACAATCTCTATGCAGAAAAAGCATTTGGCATGAGAACACATGGACACATAGAGGAGAACAACACACGATGAGGCGTTTTGGAGGGTGGAGGGCAGGAGGAGGGAGAGGATCAAGAAAATAACTAATAAGTACTACGCTTAATACCTGGGTGATGAAATAGTCTGTACAATAAACTCCCATGACACGTTTACCTATGTAACAAACCTGCACTTATACCCCTGAACTTAAAATAGAAGTTAAAAAAAGGCATTTTGCAAAATTTAGCACCCTTTCATGATTAAAACAATGAACTAAGGATTAGAGGGGATCTTCCTATGCCTGGCAAAGGATATTTATGAAAAATCGGCAGCTAACATCATATATCATAGCATTTTAGGTGACAGAAACTTCAATGAGATATTACCTCATGCTCATTATGATGCTCATTATGATGGATACGATAACAAAACAAAACATAAACAAATAAAAAAAAGAAAGTGACAAGTATTAATTAGAATGTGGGGAAACTGGAACTCTTGTACATTTCTGGTGAGTATATAAAGTATGTAAAACAATGCATTTTATGGAAAATAATGTGGCAGTTTCTCAGAAAAATTAACATAGAATTATGGCATGATCTAGCAATTATAATTCTGGGTATACGCCCACAGAAGTGAAAGCAGGGACAAGTAGGTATTTGTGCAACAGCATTATTCACAATAGTCAAAAGTTAGCAATAACTCAAATATCCATCAACTGATTAATGAATAAACAAAAATTTATATATACATACAGTGAAACACTATTCTGCCTTAAAAAGAATGGAAATCATGTCCTTTGCAGCAACATAGATGCAGCTGGAGGTTGTTATTCTTAAGCGAATTAATGCAGAAACAGAAAATTAAATACCGCATGTTCTCACTTATAAGTGGGAGCTAAACATTGAGTACATATGAACATAAATATGGGAGAAATGGACACTGGGGACTTCTGGAGGGGGAAGGGAGGGAGGGGAGTAAAAGCGAGAGACTGCCTAATGGGTGTTGTGCTCACTGTCTAGGTGATGGGATCATCCATACCCCAAATCTCAGCATCACATAGTGTTCCCATGAGACAGACCTGCACATTTACTCCCTGAATCTAAAATAAAAGTTGAAATTATTTTTTAAAAATCATTCTGATTATTTTTCAAAAACTGAAATTCTAATACATGTTACAACATGGATGAATGTTGAAGAAATTATGCTAAGTTAAATAAATTATACAAAAAAAGGACAAATATTGTATGATTCCATTTACATGATGTACCTAGAGGAGTCAAATTAATACAGGCAGAAAGTATAATAGTGATTATCTGGAGCTAAGAAGGGGAGAAAATGGGGCTTTATTGTTATTATAATAAAAAATGCATTTCTAAAAGAAATTCAAGCAGAGGTAAATAAATGGAAAGATATCCTGTGTTCCTGGATTGGAAGACTTAATATTTTTTAAATGGTAATACTCCCCAAAGCAATCTCCATATTCAATGCAATCGCTATCAAAATCCCTACAGCTTTTTTTCTTTTTCTTTTCTTTTTTTCTTTTTTTTTTTTTTTTTTTGCAGAAATAGAAACACTAATTGTAAACGTTAGATATAATAGCAAGGGACCCTGCATAGTCAAAACAATCTTGAAAATGAAGAACAAAGTTCAAGGACTAATAGGTTCTGATTTCAAATCTTAGCATAAAGCTACAGTAATCAAAAATAAAGCTACAGTAATCAAATATGTATAGTACTTTCATAAGGATAAAAAGCTTACAGTAATCAAATATGTGTAGTACTTTCATAAGGATAGACATATAGACCAACAAAATAAAAAAGAAGCTTCAGAACTAAACCCCATACATCTATGGTCAGTTGATTTTTGACAAGTGTGCTAAGACTATACAATGGGGTAAGAATAGTCTCTTCAGTAAATGCTGTTGGGAAAACTGGATTTCCACATGCACAAGAATGAAGTTGGATCCTTAGCTCAAAGCATATAAGAAATAACTCAAAATGGATGAAAGACCTGAATATAAGAGCTAAAGCTATAAAACTCAAACATTTTCATTACTTTGGATTTCACATTTTTAAAAATATGACGCCAAAGTACAAGAAACAAAGAAAACATCAATTAATTGGAACTCATCAAAATAAATTTTTTATGCTTCAGAGGATACAATCAAGGGAATGAAAAAGATAACCTACAAAAGGGGGAAAAACATGTGCAAATCATGTACCTGATAGAGGGCTTGTGTCTGGAATATATAAAGAACATATACAACTAAACAACTAAGAGATGAATAATACAGTTCATAAATAGGCAAAGGATTCATTTCTTCAACGAAGATATACAAATGAGCAACAAGCACATTTAAAAGATGCTCAACATCATTAGTCATTAGGGAAATGCAAGTCAAAACCATAATGAAATAACAATTTATACCCACTAGCCTGCCTACAATTAAACCAAAGAGGAAAATAACAAGTATTGGCATCAATGTAGAGAAATGGGAACCCTCAAGTATTGTTGATGGGAATTTTAAATGGTGAATCCACTGTAGAAAACTGTTTAGAAGCTCCTCAAAAAGTCAAATATACAATTACCATATTACCCAACAATTTCACTCCTAGGTATATACTCAAAATAACTGAAATAGTTTTTCAAACAGTAATGTGTACAGGAATATTCACAGCAGCACTATTCACAATAGTCAAAAGGTGGAACTGACCAAAATCAATGAAATTCTTTCAACCAATGAAAGAATAAACAAAATGTGGTAAATACTATGAAATACTGTTCAGCCGTATAAAGGAATGAAATACATACATGTTAAAACATGGATAAGCCCTGGAAACATTATGCTAATTAAATGAAAGCAGATACAAAAGGTCACATGTTGTGTAATTCTATTTATATAAAATACCTGGAATAGACGAACGTAAAGAGACAGAAAGCAGATCAATGGTTGCTGAAGGATAGGGAGAGAGATGAAGGAGGAGTAACTGTTTATTGGTTATGGAGTTTCCTTTTGAGGTGGTGAAAATGTTTCGGAAATAAATGTTGATGATGGTTGCACAACATTGTGACTTTCCTAAAAGCCATTGTATTTTACATTTTATAATGGTTAAAGTGCTGAATTTCATGTTGTGTGAATTTTACCACAATAACAATTTTTTTAATTGAACAAGTCTGTTATGTTCAAAGTACTGTGTTAGATAAGTAATGTACTAGATACATTTCAGAGAACAGGTTAAGTGAGTCATGGTCCCTTTCTTAAAGGAATTTATGATCTTAAGGGAAAATTAGTACAAAAACAGAATATCATAAGAGGTACAAAATGTATGTATTTGAGAGGAAGGAGCTATTTTATCTACTTTAGAAGATTTGAGAAAGAGACTTCAAAAGAGAGGTGGTAGTTTACATAATCTTTGGACAATGTTTTAATCTTTATATAGGCATATGTCAGGTATCTGTAGTGGCCAGTTAGTTGATAATTATATATAGATTGCCTGTTATAAGTAGGGTAGCTCAATGAGGATTATAGAAACAAACATTCTAGACAGAGGGAGTTGTAAGAACCTGATAGAGCATGGCAGGTTCATGGAATTGAGAGAAGTATACTGAGAATGACCGTATCATTTATCTTCCAAACATGAACAATTTTTAGACTGAAAAGGAGCTGCTCTCAGTAATTATGCCAAGACAGAAGGAATACATTGGAACTTCCCATAGTAAAAATCGATTTAGAATTAACCCAGGTATAGCTAGAGAGAGTAAAAGAAGGAGAGTTATCACATGAATTCAAGCAAATTAGGTGAGATTAATCAGGGGTTTGTAGAAGATAGTATTTATTTTCAATATTTTCCCAAAGGAAAGGGGAAGCATTTTAGCAAAGGGCAATGGAGTGACTAGACTTATACTTCTAAACATCATTTTACTGGCAATGTGAAGGCGAAGTGTATGAAATAGGTGATGAAATAAGTATAGAAGTTCAAGGATTTGAAAATATTTGGGAGGTAGGATTAAATGGAATTTGGCAGTATGTCAGGAAAGATATATATTGTGGCATGTTGATGATGAATGCTGTCATTTCAATTTTGTGCTTAAGTTAGTAGGAAATTGGGATTCATTAACAGCTTTCAAAAAGGCAGTACCATGATCAGATTTCAGTAACGTAATTCTTAGAGATGGTTGTGTAGTAATTTAAGCAAACTGTTATTTATTTTAAACCTGTATCAACTCTCAGGGTACATATTTTATAATCTGACAACTCATTTATCTCTGAAATATATTCTGCTGTTTGCCATATATTATACTTCTGTGAGCTTCAAGGGTTAAACTGTAGTGTATAAATAAATTTTTAATCAATTCGTATGCATTTTATAGTTTTAGAACATTGAATATAGTTTCCATCAATCTTGTTAAATTTCTAGATTAAATGAACCCTTTTTACATTATACTTTTTACCTTACTACAACAAAAAATATTCTCGAAAACCACTCTTTTGGTGATTTAAACACCAAGATTAACATCTTCCTGCCACTTTGTCAAAACTTAAAGAATATAAAGATCATTTTAGAAAATCCTCAACTTTATTTGACAAGTAGATAGAAAACCAAAGCTATTTCATGGTTTCACAAAGTCTGCTACTGGGAAAATAATTTAACTGTATAAAGAAACATTTGGCCTCAGTATTGTGAAGAATTTGTGGCTCACTGATTTGATTTAGACAAGAAATCACTGCATGAAATAGGATCATGACAGCAGTAAAAATGTTTCTAATTTTAAAAAAGCTTTAATGCTTCAAAAACATAGTTTTCCCTATATTTTTATAACACATAAAATTTATTCATCCTTATCCTTTATGTTTATGATTTTACTACAGTTTATCCATCCCCTATGAAACAGAAGTATTTGTCATTTATTTTCTCAGAAAAGTCAATTGATATAGAGACATTTTTCTCATGAGTGTATTTATCCCTAATGGATTTGTTGATTTATTTGTCATGTTTATGTCTGTATGAAAAGTGTTGATTATTTTAGTGAAGCTATTCTTTCCACACTTAACAATGTATGTTTACTGGAATTAAAAAATAACCCCCAATAACATCCTGCAAAATAAAATACAAAATCTGCTATTTGGCTTGAGGGGGCAGGTGAACACACAGGGTAAGGAACAAACTCTTGCTACTAACAAAAATAAAAAATAACAGTTAGCCAAGCAATCAGTTGAAATTCTGTTTGCATTTCTATTTCCAAGAATAACAGTTTTAATGTGAATATTTGTGGTTCTTGGTAAAGAAATTGTTTACCAAGAGAATTACATCTTCTTGCATCATACCAAAGAACTAGTTTCTGCGAAAGCTTTCACATTCACACAGTTCTAAATAAAGTATAAAATATTACTTAAAGTGCCATTGGAAAGTAAAGCACATGAAGAGATAAAATTCACAAATTGTCTACCCTTTCTTCCTTCCTTAGGTATAAATTGCAGTTTGATCAGTAATCTATACATGTAGTCACTTATTTAACAAAATAAGCACTCAATGTACAAAGCTCTCTGAAAAGAGCTCTCTCTCTCTTTCTCTCTATTAATGAGCTAATATGCACTTGTACACATCCAAATAGATATGAGAAGACATATGTTCAATGTTTTTATATAAAAAGCTCTGTATTTATCATTTTATAGTCCACTCTTTTCAGATAGGACTTGTGGTAGCTGAAAATATTAAAACATATACTGAAGAACCATTACAATCAGATTTACATTTATAAAAGACAGCTCTGGAAACAAGCAAATAAATAATGGAAAATAAGAGTGAATTACCTGGCACTTAGCATCAATTAGTTTCTATAGTTGAATAGTAAAACTTATTTTGATATTGTCTTATGCTAAAGCAGAAGGAAAATATGTTGGGTCGTATTGTGCACATGTACCCTAAAACTTAAAGTATAATAAAAAAAAAAAACTAGGAAGGAAAACTTAAAAAAAAAAATAAATGAAAGCACACAAGTTCATAGGGAGAGATAAATTTTTCTTACCATTAAGATAAAGAAGAATTGGTTTGCTGACTCATTAAAGTACTGACCATTATGTTATTCAAAGGACAATTTATTTGGTTAATCTCATAAAAGCGACAAATATTTCTCATACAAATGTTTTTCTTAATCCTCTTCTATCAAGATTAAAGGCCATATTTGAATCATAAATTCAGTAAAGGCATTTGTTTGAGTTACCACATTATGAAATGCAGGATTCTTGCTTTTTGATGAGCTAATAGAATCAGAATTTACAATTGGCATGTGCCCTAGACCAGTGGGCTTTAAACGACAATCAGAACTATTCAGAGGAGTTGTTACATTAGTATCACTTGGTGAAATTTTCGAAAAGCACAGATCCCTGGGCCATACTCCCAGAGATTCTAATTCCCTGTACCTAGTGCATAGCCCATAAATTTTTCTCTCTTTTTTTCAAATAGTCTCCAATTGATTTTGAAATACTATATAGACAATGAGATTAAGAGGTGA
Source organism: Homo sapiens (assembly GCF_000001405.40). Classification (NCBI taxonomy): domain Eukaryota; kingdom Metazoa; phylum Chordata; class Mammalia; order Primates; family Hominidae; genus Homo; species Homo sapiens. The sequence continues at coordinate 87,573,366 of NC_000023.11, forward strand.
AAAAGATAGGTAGAATCTCAGCTCATGTGGAGGTTATATACTGAAGTGAGGGAAAATAGATATACAAATAAACAAATAAGTGAACAAGATAACTTCAATAGTGACTAGTTTATTAAGAAAATAGAACAAGGTGATATGAGATAGAGAATGAATAGATGGATGGGAATTTAGTTGATGGGGGCGCATAAGTATATGAAGTATTAGTATTATATGTTGTTGATTAAATAATAAAGACCCAATGTTGTGTTTAATTTCTGTGGTAAAGATTTAGAGACTGATTTTATTTTGCTTGATATGAGAACAATCATAACTCTCTATAGAAATGTGCTGCAGAAACACCCAGAGATATTATAAAACTTTGTGCTCAATAAAATGTTTCACTATACCTGATGATTTGAATACATACTTGGCTGTATGTGCTAAGCCATACAAATATTTTTGGAGTAAAAATTATAAAGGAAAGTCTTAAAATAATTTCAGCAAGTCTTTGTCTTCATAGGTATAACATAATAAGCTAACAACCACAAGGTATTGAATGATTTCAGTATTTAGATGGAATCACTTACTACTGTCCACTTAAATCCTGAAGAATGGATGCTAAATGTAACAATATCATTTAAATATGTAAGCTATTCTTTGTGACAACAGATAGCTAAATAATTAACCTTATTCTTAAAGCCAAGTCTATTCAAAACTAAAAAAAATTATCACCTTGGAGGGAAGCATTTAACTTCCTATTTGTAATAGTAGGTAGCCTATGCAGTTCAGTGAATATAATTTAAAAATGTAAAATATATTAAAACAAGTGTTGAGCTATAATCCTTGAAATGGAAATTTCATCATATCCAATAATCTTAACTATTGTGATTCCAGAAGCATTATGTTATAGAACAAGTGCTAAAGAAGTACTAATGCCCATTTAAACCGAAAATGTGTCATTGTTCATGAGTAATTCTAATCTACAGAATCCAAGGCTAACAAGAGTTCAAATTATGCTTTAAAAAAATCAAGTGTTGTTTTTAATTATTTTTCAGGGGAAATGAAACAATGATAGCATCCAAACTAATAGTTGTTTTCTAAATATGTATTAGATTGAGAAACCCACTCAGTTTGTCAAGAAGAATGCTGGCAATGCACTTTTTCTAAACACTGTATTGAGTTATAATTAGCATGCCATAGAATTCACCTATTTAAAGTGTGCAATTAAGTTTGCACACTTAAAATCGCCTCACTTTTTTTGAAATAAGACAGAAATTCATAAGTAAATAAATTCAATTTTGTGCCACCACGAAATTAGGAGGCTAATCAGTGTGGGCATATGTTTGTGTGTGTAATGACTGGAATTATCTGGAGAGGCTTCATGGTATGGAAGTACTATACTGGATTTGAAGTGAGAAGAACTGAGAATATAAAATCTTCCATTTATTAACTTATTAACTTAAAAGGAGGTAATGATCATAACTTACTTTGCAGTGTTGGTGATATAACGAAATAACATGTGTGCCACTGTTCTGTAAAGTGTAAAACATTCTCATGCATTGAATGGCAGTTATTATTAATATTATTTCTAGCCTAGAATGTTATGATAAAAAAGTGATGTAACAGGATTCAATGAAAAGTCTGATGTTTAGGTTTAAAACATTTGAAATAGAAGAAATTGTCATCCACAGTTCAAATTTTAAAAATCTTACCAGATCAGTTGATCACAATTACAGTATGAACGAATAGCGTGTAATATGGCTAACAAAATCAATGAATACAATCTTTAGCTTCTTTACTAGAAGTTTCCTGATACAGGGGTGAGGACCAGTAATGGTCCGCGGTCTGATAGGAACCAGGCCGCACAGCAGGAGGTGAGTGGCGGACAAGTGAGTATTACTTCCTAAACTCTGCCTCCTGTCAGATCAGCAGCAGCATTAGATTCTCATAGCAGCAGGAACCCTATTGTGAATTGTGCATGCAAGGGACCCAGGTTGTGCACTCCTTATGAGAATCCAATTAATGCCTGATGATCTGATGTGGAACAGTCTCATCCCGAAACCATCCCCTCCAACATCCCCCATCCATGGAAAAATTGTCTTCCACGAAACCAGTCCCTGGTGCCAAAAAGGTTGGGGACTGCTGGTATAGGTGATAATGACATATTAGACTTTCTGCTAGTCATATTACATTTTCAGTTTTAGGTCTAGTTATAGTTATCCTGTAAATGAGGGAAATCGAAACTGAAGATATATCTAGAGTAGATTTTCCAAGATGGTCAGAAGTCAGGAAAAACAGGTGATATAAGGAAACTTGAAAAATGCAAGACACATAGATGTTTTACAATTTAGCAGAGGGAAAACATTGTGGGCTGAAGTGGTAACAGTATTAGGGGAAAGACAGAATCTAATCTGGGCAGTGAGAATGAAATTTGTAAAAAGAAGTGCGTACTGGGGAGAACTATATATTTAGAGCCAGCAAATCTTGGATTTCACTTCCATTTAACTAAAAATGAGGGGCTAAAAAGCAAATAGCTGAGTTAATATAAACTACTGAAAATACTTGATCCTGGCAATACTGAAAAGATAACATCTCAGATAAGGTCCATAAGTTAAATATTTGTGAAACTTTATAGTGTTGGTTTGAAAATTTGGGAAATACTGTGATAACATAGAAACTTCATTAACATTAACCTATAAGGAGATCCATGTTGCAATTATAAAAATTGGAGTCTGCCCCTCCAGTGAGATTTCTACAATACTATGATATTGGAAAGTAATCAGAAGCTCTTGTTTTAATAGAAACAGTGATAACTGGGAGGTATAATTTCTGATGAGGTTGGTGATCATCCTTACTCTTTACCCTTGATAGCCAAAAAGAGAAATAATTGTATTTTCTATTTCATGTAGTTTTGGATATTTGAGGTAATATGTGAAAGCTGAAAAATACATTATATGTACCTGTATTTTAATCCATAAAACATAAGAAAAAAAACTTTATATGCCAAGGAAGACAGCTTTAAAAACACAATATACTCAAGAGGATTTTTAAATATTCCCCAAACAAATAAATTATAAATGTTTGAAGTAATGCATATCCTAGTTACACCTTGTATATGTCTTGAAATGTCACTCTAGACCTGGTAAATATGTACAATTATTGTTTCAAATAAAAGCGGTTTTTATAAAAACAAAAATCTTCAATGATAAATGAAGTTTATCTAAAAATAAAATGAACTACAATTGATGATTTATATGGAGTATTTACCATTATAAAATTATTTTATTTGATGTGTTTCTAAAGTAACATAAAACTATAGTTTTTGTAATGTGGCTATCCTGTTACGAAATCTTTACACTTGTGACGGTTTTATATAACTATTTACTAGTTAATATGTCGAATTGATCAATTGTATGCAGTCTTATTCAGAATCTTTCAAGACAATATTTTTTATGAGGACTCTCTCTACATACACATAGATATGGATATACTTTTATTTTTAAAAATACTTACCAAATATATAGAAAATTATTAGTTTAACCTGCTAGATTGAAATGAAACATCATATTTTAAATAAAGCATTTTTATTAAAATTACAAAATAATAAATCTAGTCCATGAGAAAGAATAATAGCTGGCCTTTAAGTATGGTATTGATTAAAACTTCATGAACAATGAAAATATTTTAAAATGTCATGTGCTTAATTAAGTCACTTTACATTGAAATACTGTTATAAAGTTAAACAGCAGGAAATTTTGCCACTAAGTAAGCTACACTGCATTAGATTACAACATACAGATAAGTGTATGCTAAAATGCTAAAACTTACAGGTTATGCTAAAACATTAAATATATTTAACCCTTTTCCTTTTCCTGTTTTCCCGGAGCATACACGCCGGTGGCACTTGTGGCTGCAGCATTTACGCTGAGATAATTTTGACATAAAATATCGTGCTTTTATTCTTATTTTCACATAGCTCTAGTATATCAGCTTTGAAAACAAAAGACATCGTTCTATTTATAACATTCTGTTTTTAGTAGTGGTATTTCCATTTACATTATGTGGTAATTCTTGATTGCCAAAAATGTCAAATCCTAGGAAATGTAACATTCCTACGCATGATGTTAACATCATTCTCAAACAGTTGTTGACTGAAGATTCATTTGATGAGGGCAATTTGTCTGAAATAGATGATTCTGATGACTCAGACAATTCTGACGTTAGATCTCTTTAGAAATAACTCCAAGAACGGTTTTTATATTTTATTTTCATATTGAAAATCAGATTTGCTTCAGCCTCAGAGCACATTTATGTAAAATTAAATGAGAGCTGACAGTAAGCTGCACATTTGTTTTCTAAATGGGAAAAGGATTAAAGCTCTTAAAAATAAATATATAATCAATAACTCCAGTGATTGTCACTTAATAGAATCATGCTATGCTTCGTTTTACAACTGCCTTCCTGATTCTAGCATGTATGTCTTTATATTTTCTTCTTCCCTGTGTCTTTAAAGAATGTAATGCTTTCTTTTAAATAAGTAAACACTAAAATAACATTGGTATTACACAAGATTGTCAAGGGTCTTAATCAATAAATTAATTGATATTACTTTGCTAATATGATTATAAAAAATTATACTAGAAAAAATCCTACAAATATATTCTTACAAAAATTTATATCTCTGTCATTTGGTTCTAATTCATTGCAAAATAAATGGGACTTTGATGAGATACCTATGTACAATACCTGTATTTAAATACCAGCAAAATATTACATGTTCCTTTATATAGTTTTCTGATTAAAATGTGCTGATAATTTCTGGAATTTATTCTTCTTTATAAAGTTTCTTTTCTCTTTTTTAATTGAATTTGGATTGTATTTCCAAATATATCCCTAATTCAAATTAAATTAAATTAAAATAAAATATATTTTCCTCATTTACTAAAGTGAATTTATGGAATGGTAATTTTTACAAGGTTATATATTCTAATAGACTAATTAGTAGAGGCAATGTGAGAAATTTAAGAATCCACTTTGATGGATCATTGCCTTATCTAGATTTTGGTAAAACTTAACTAAGAAGGAATAATGTCAGCAAGATGGTAGAATATGTAGCCACAGCCCTCATTCCCCACAGAAACACTGATTTAACAATGATATGTGGACCAAAACTTCTTTATGAGAAGACCATAATTTAGTTAAGAAGTTGCAGTACTCCAGATGAGCACAAAACTGAAAACAACTGCATTGAAATGAATAAGAAAAGCAATATTAATTTATCTGCATTAGCCCCTTCTTAAGCCAGAGCAGCTCAGCACTGAGAGAGACTCCCTCTGTAAGCAACTTCCTCCTTAGGGAAAATTAGAGCATTAAGTATGTCTCCAATTTCCCAGCCTTTTGGTGTGCCACTCAAGACAGTTTCTGTCTTTTTTTGCACAGAGTGCTAAAGGAGCTGGCACAGTTTGGATGCCCAGTGGCAATTATAACAAAAAAAATGGGGGTAGTTGGCTTACAATGTAACACAGCTTTGTCAGATTGAGAGAAGTCACAGAACCTGAGGCTTCTTTCTCAGGAGGGAGAGAGAGGAGTGAAGTGTGCCTCTAACATCCTGGACTTCCAGTCTAAATCTCAATGTGCTATATTCTTTCTTCAACTAGAACAGTAATAGAACTTTCAGAGTTTAGTAGGGGCAGCTAAGAAATAAGGAAAAGGGACAAGTGGCTTGCTGTACTCATTATGGCTCTGTGAGACTCAAAGATGGTACAGTAATTGTAGTTTCTCCAAAGGCAAGAAGGGAGAGGAGTGGAGCATGTCTCCAGCCTATGGTACAAAAGGAAGACACCAGAGGGAGCAAGAGATTACAAATTACTGAAAAAAAAATCAGTCTGTAAATCTCTTCTAATTAGAAATCTATACACAGCAGTACAGAGAAAACATACGCATAGAAAAGGTTTGAGAAGCTTCCAGAATATTCAAAGAATAATAATAAAGAGTGAGAAAGCCTACAGAAATTATATAACACCATCAAACAAATACATACATTATGGAAATTCCACAAGGAAAAGAGAATGAGAAAGAGTGGAAAGTTTATTTAAAGAAATAGTGGCCAAAAATTTGCCAAATCTGAAGAGGGAAATGGACATCTAGACTAGCAAAGCCCAAAGTATCCAAAACATTATCCACCAAGACACATTATAATCAAATTATAAAAAGTCTAGGAGAGAGAATTTTGAAATCTGTAAGAGACAGACAACTTGTCATATACAAAGAAACCATCAATAGCCAATCAGCAGATTTCCCAGCATAAACCTTTCAGGACATAAGGTAGTAGGATGATATATTCAATGTGTTGAAAGAAAATAACTGCCAATCAAGAATACTATACCTGGCAAAACTGTCATAAATGAAGGAGAGATAAAGACATATCTGAACAAACAACAACTGAAAGAGTTCATCACCACTGGATCTGCCTTACAAAAATGCTAAAAGAGTTATTCAGGTTGCAATGTAGGATGCTGAACATTATATGATAGCATAGGAAAGTATGAAACTCATTGGTAAAGGTAAATATGTGAATACAGAATACCATAATAATGCAACGATAATGGGTAAATCACTTTTCATTTTAGTATAACATTAATTAAAAGACAAAAGTCTTAAGAATAACAATAAATACAAAAATGTGTTAGTGGATACACAATGTAAAAGATACAAATTGTGACATCAAAAACATAAAGTGTGTAGAAAGAGAAGTAAATATGTAGAGTTTTGTAAATGATTGAAGTTAACTTGCTATTAGCTTATATTAGATGGTGATAACTACAAGATATTTTATGTTGCTTCATGTGATCTCAAACAAAATACATATAGAATATACACAAAAGAAAGGAGGAAGGAATTAATGCATATCACTACAAAAAAATTAGTAAAAAGGGAAAGAAACCAGTAAGGGAGGAAAGAGAAACAGAATAATTGCAAGACAGAAAAAAAAAAACCAACAAAATTGCAAGAGTAAGTCTTTACCTACCAAAAATAATTTAAACATAAATGGATTAACCTCCCCCATGAAAAGACAGAGTTGCTGAATGGATAAAAACGCAAGATCCAACTTTATGCTGCCTAGAAGAGATACACTTTGGATTCAAGGACACACACGGGCTGAAAGTGAAGTGATAGAAAATGATATGCTATACAGATAAGAACAACAAAAAAAATAGGGAGCTATACTTCCATCAGATGAAAGAGATGTTAAGTCAAAAAGTGTCACAAGATACATACAAAGAAGGTAATTTTATAATAATAAAATATCAATTTATCAAGAAGATATAAGAATTATAAACTTATTTCTACACAATATCAGAGCATCTACATATATAAAATAAACATTAAAGGGAAATAGATAGCAATACAATTGTAGGAGATTTTAATACCAAACTTGAAATAATTGATTGAATATCCAGACAGAAAGTTAAAAAGGAAACAGACTTGCACAACACTATATAGACCAAATGAACATAAAAGAAATAGACATCACTGGGCAGGACCTCCCAGCTAGGGCCTCCAGCCACCCCCACTCACATGTATTCTATAGACAGAGCTCTGATCTCTCCCTGGGACAGAGTACCTAAATGTAGGGGAGGGCTGCCAGGTTGATTGTTTGGACAACTCATCCATTCCAGCCTGTGGGCTTTAAAGAGCCCAAGCTGACAGGGTCACAGTTGGTTCATCAGCATGACATGGCTATTTTGTCAAGGCATGGCCAGACTGCTTTTTTAAGTGGGACTGCAGTTCACTTCTTGTGATAAGGGTTTTCTCACCCAGGGCTTCTGGCCACCCCTGCCTATGTTTTAAGGCTGAGACGGAGTGCTAATTTCTCCCTGGGGTGGAGTGCCGGGGGGTGGGGAAGACCACCATGTTGGCTATTTGGGCATCTCAGCCAGTCTAGCCTATTGGCCTTGGAGAGGCCAAACCAATTGGGGGCTGAAGAGATCCCCAACACAGCACAGCTGCTCTCCGCAAAAGCAATCAGAATGCATCTTTAAGGGGTTTCTTGATCCCATTCCTCTGACTGTGTGAGACGTCCCAACCAGGGTCTCCACCCACCTCCTACAGGTGCGTTCAGTCTGGTAACAGGTCAGTACCCCCCTGGGACAGAGCTTCCAGAGACAGTGGCAAAAGGCCATATTTGCTGTTTCACAGCATTCACTAGTGATACCTCCAGGTACTGGACAAACATAGGTGACTAAAATATAGAGCAGACCCACTGCGGACTGCAGCAGCCCTATGGAAGAGTGGCCAGATGGTTAAAAGAAAAACAAAGGAACAAACAACAAAAAAAACCAGAAAAACTCCATCCAAAGGTAAGCAATCTCAAAAACAGAAGGTAGATGAGCCCACAAAGATGAGAAAGAATCAGCACAAAAATGCTGAAAACTCAAAAAGCCAGAGTGCCCCTTTTCCTCCAAATAACTGCAACACCTCTGCAGGAAGGGTTCAGAACTGGGATAAGGCTGAGATGGCTGAAATGACAGAACTAGGCTTCAGAATGTGGGTAAAAATGAACTTCACTGAGCTAAAGAAGCATGTTGTAACTCAATGCAAAGAAGCTAAGAGGTATGATAGAACAGTGCATGAGCTGACAGCCAAAATAGCCAATATAGAGAGGATCATAACCAACCTGATAGAGCTAAAAGCACACTATAAGAATTTCACAATGCAATCACAAGTATTAATAACAGAATAGATCAAGTAGAGGAAAGAATCTCAAAGCTTGAAGCCTATCTTTCTGAAGTAAGACAGGCAGACAAAAATAGATCATCCCCCCTGCAAGGACAACAAGTTAATAAGTATCTACATAGAAAAAACACCTTCATAAGAAACGAAAATTAGGTGAGCACTCATGGTACCTGGTTTTAACTTTATATCACTGTAAAAAAGCACCTAAGAGATAGAAAAAAACAGTCTGGAATCGCGGATGCCACCACTTCCCCAACATCCAGCAGCAGCAGCTTGTTGCTGCGAGCCTGTCTGAGTATTTTTGTAGGGATAACACAGCAATTGTGGGGAATAGAACTTGGTGCTGTCCTGTAAGAGCAGAAAGAAAAACCAGAACAAAGTCAGCTGATGGCCGTTCAGAAAGGGAACATTTAAACCAGCCCTAGCCAGAGGGAAATCCCAATCTAAGCAGTCCAAATTTGAGTTCATGAAACCTCACCACGAAAGAACTACAGCACTCTGTGTCCCCAAGTAAATTTGAAAGGCAGTCTAGAGCATGATGACTACATCTCTTAGGCAACATCTAGTGCAGAACTAGGCCAAGATAAAGTGGACTTGGGCTGGTGGGGGGATCATTTTGTGTCCAGAGTTGGTTCCTTCCAGTGGGTTTGTGGTCTCACTGACTTCAAGAATGGAGCCGCAGGCCTTCGTGGTGAGTGTTACAGCTCTTAAAGATGGCACGGACCCAAATAGTGAGCAGCAGCAAGATTTATTGTGAAGAGCGGAAGAACAAAGCTTCCAAAGTGTGGAAGAGGACCTGAGTGGGTAGCCACTGCTGGCTGGGGTGGCCAGCTTTTATTCCCTTATTTGTCCCCTCCCATGTTCTGTTTCTGTCCTATCATAGTGTCGTTTTTTTCAATCCTCCCTGCAATTGGCTACTTTTAGGATCCTGCTGATTGGTGCATTTTACAGAGTGCTGATTAGTACATTTTATAATCCCCTTGCTAACTACAGAGTGATGATTGGTGCGTTTTTACAGAGTGCTGATTGGTGCATTTTACAATCCTCTTGCTAGCTACAGGGTGTTAATTGGTGCGTTTTTACAGAGCACTGATTGGTGCATTTTACAATCCCTTTGCTAGCTACAGAGCACTGATTAATGTGTTTTACAATCCTCTTGTAAGACAGAAAAGTTCTCCAAGTCCCCACTCGACACAGGAAGTCCAGCTGGCTTCACCTCTCAATTTGACATAGTGAGACACCAACTGGGGCAGCCATGGGAGTGCTAGCATCACCCTCCCCTGGCCCCAGGCCACGTAGCACAGCTTGCAGCTCTAAATAAGACTCCTTCCTTCTGATTTAGGAAAGGAGAAGGAAGAGTAAAGGAAGAGTGGGGAGGACTTTGTCTTGCATCTTCGATGCCATGTCAGCCATACCAAAATAGGGCATCAGTCAGAGTTGTGAGGCCCACATTCTAGGCCCTAGCTCCCAGACATTTCTAGACACACTCTGAGCCAGAAGGAAACCCATTGCCTTGATGAAAAGGACCTAGCCCTGGCAGTATTCACATCTGCTAACTGAAGAGCCTTTGGTCCCTAAATAACCAGAAGCAATACCCAGGTAGTACATTGACGGCCTTGGGTTAGCCCTTAGACTTTCTGGCTTCAGGTAAGACTCAGCACATTACCAGCTGTAATGGCCATAGGACAAACCTCCTTCTGCTTGAAAAAAGCAGAGGAAAAAGTAAAGGGAACTTTGCATAGCAACTTAGGTACCAGCATGACCACAAGGGGGCAGAGCACAAAGTGGGCTCTTAAGCCAGTGAATTTTTACAGCTTGCCTTGGGCTAGGACCAGTGCTGGGCTGGCTTCAAATGTGACCCAGCACATAGTGGTGGTGGTAACAATGGTGCTTGTGTCATTTCACCTCCAGCTTTAGGTGGCTCAGAAAAGAGAGAGACTCTACATTTTTGGGAGAACAAAAGGAAAAGGAACAAAAGTCTCTGCCTGGTAAATCTGAGAATTCTCCCAGATCTTGTTGAAGACCATCAAGGCAGTACCTCTATGAATCTGAAAGGACAACAGTTCTACTGGGCTTGAGGTGCCCCCTAAAGTAGATACTGATTAAATCACAATACCCAAGTCCTTTCGAATATCTGGAAACCCTTCCCATGAAGCACATCTATAACTAAGCCCAGACAATAAATACTACAATAAATAGCCAACTCTTCAATGCCCAGACACCAAAGAACATCTACCAGCATCAACATCATCCACGGAAACATGACCTCAATAAATGAACGAAATAAGGTACCAGGGACCAATTCTGGGTAAACAGAGATATGTAACCGTTCAGGCAGATAATTCAAAAGAGCTGTGTTGAGGAAACACAAAGAAATTGAAGATAATGCAGAGAAGGAATCCAGAATTCTATCAGATACATTTAACAAAGAGATTAACTAATTGAAAAAATCAGGAAGAAATCCTGGAGCATAAAAGTGCAATTTTACCACTGGAGAATGCACCAGAGTCTTTTAAGAGCAGGATGGATCTAGCAGAAGATAGTAATAGTGAGTTTGAAGACAGCTACTTGAAAATACACAGTCAGAAAAGACAAAATAAAAAAAAAGAATAGAAAACAATGAAGCACACCTTCAGAAACCAGAAAAAACCCTCAAAAGGGCAAATCTAAAAGTTATTGGCCTTAAAGAGAAGGTAGGGAAAAGATAGAAGTAGCAAGTTCATTTAAAGGGATAATAAGAGAGAACTTCCCAAACCTAGGAAAAGTTATCCGTATCCAAAAAAAAAAAAAAAAAGTTATAGAACATCAAGTAGATTTACCCCCAAAATGACGACCTCAAGCCATTTAATAATGAAACTTCCAAAGGTTAAGATAAAGGAAAGATACCAAAAGCAGCAAGAGAAAAGAAACAAGTAACATTAAATGAAGCTATAATACATCTGGCAGCACACTTTTCAGTGGAAGCCTTACAGGCCAAAAGAGAGTGGCATGATATATCTAAAGTGCTGAACAACAATAACAAAAAAAACCTTTTACTCTAGAATAATATATCTGGTGAAAATATTATTCAAACATGAAAAGGAAATAAAGCCCTTCACAAACAAATGAAAGCTGAGGGATTTCATCAACACCAGGCCTGTCCTACAAGAAATGCTAAAGGGAGAACTTCAATAAAAAATATAAAGACATTAATGATCAATAAATAATTGCCTGAAGGTATAAAACTCACTAATGACATTAAGTAAAAAGAAAAACACAGAATATTATAACACTAACTATGGTGTGTAAACTACTCTTAATTAGAAAGACAAAACGAAAAATAATAAGTACAACTTTTCAAGACATAGTACAATACGATATAAATAGAAACAACAAAATGTTAAAGCAGGGGTAATAGCTAAAACAGATTTTTTTTATTAGTTTTCTTTTTGTTTGTTTGTTTATGCAAATAGTGTTGTTATTAGATTAAAATAATGGATTAGAAGATGATAGTATTTGCACACCTCCCAGTAACCTCAAACCAAAAAACATACAATGGATACACAAAAAATAAAAACAAGAAACAAAATTATATCACCAGAAAAATTAACTTGATTACAGAAAGACAGGAAGAAAGGAAATAAGGAAGAGATGACCACAAAACAAACAGAAAACAAATAACAAACAAATTAGCAGGAGTAAGCCCTTACTCATCGATAATAACATTGAATGTAAATGGACTAAATGATCCAATCAAAAGACATAGACTGGCTGAATGAATAAAAAAGACAAGACTCATTGATCTTTTGCCTATGAGTAACAAGTTTTACCTATAAAGACACACATAGATGAAAAATAAAGAGATGGAAAAATATATTCCATGCCTTTGGAAACCAAAAAAGAGCATAAGTAGCTATACTAATATCAGACAAAATATAATTTAAGACAAAAACTATAAAAAGTGAAAAAGATGGTCACTATATCATGATAAAGGTATCTATTCAACAAGAGGATCTAAAAACTTTTCATATATATGCACCCAACACTGGAGCACACAGATACATAAAACAAATATTGTTAGAGCTTAAGAGAGAGATAGGACCCAGTACAATAATAGCAGGAGACTTCAACACCCCACTTTCAGCATTGGATAGATCGTGTAGACAGAAAATCAACAAAGAAACATGAGACTTAATCTGCACTGAAGAACAAATGGATCTAATACATATTTATAGTCATTTCATCCAAGAGCTTCAGAATAGACACTCTTTTCCTTAGCACATGGATAATTCCCAAAGATAGTCATATGTTAGGTCACAAAACAAGTTTTAAAACATTCAAAAAAAACCTGAAATAATATCAAGGATCACCTCTGACCACAATGAAATAAAACTAGAAATTAATAACAAGATAAATTTTAGCAACTATAGAAATACATGGGAATTAAACAATATGTCCCTGAATGATAAGTTGGTCAATGAATAAATTAAGATGGAAATTAACAAATTTCTTGAAACAAGTGGTAATGGAAACACAACATATCAGAACCCATGGAATACAGGAAAACCAGCACTAGGAGGGAAGTTTGCAGCTATAAGTGCTTACATCAAAAAGAGGAAAAATTTCAAATAAGCAATCTAACAATGTGTCTTAAAGAACTAGAAAAGCAAGAGGAAATGAAATCCAAAATTAGCAGAAGAAAATAAATAATAAAAATCAGAGCTAAAATAAATGACATTGAAATGCAAACCACAATACAAAAGATCAATGAAACAAGAATTTGTTTTTTAAAAAGTTAAACAAAATTGACAAACTTTTAGCCAGACTAAGAAAAATAGAGAAAATATCCAAATTAATAAGATCAGAAATGAAAAGGAGACATTAAAACTGATACTGCAGAATTTAAAGGATCAATAGTGGCTGCTGTGAGCAACTATAGGCCAATAAATGAGAAAATCTGGAAGAATTTGACAAATTCCTAGATACATAAAACCTACCAAGATTGAACCAAAAATAAATCTAAAACCTGAACAGATGAATAACAAGTAATGAGATGAAAGCCATAATAAAAATCTCTCCATAAAATAAAGCAAAAAAAAAAAAAAAAAAGCCCAGGACCCATGGCTTCACTGCTGAGTTTGACCAAATATTTAAAGAAGAATTAATAACAATCTCACTCAAGCTATTCTATTCTGAATAATAGAGGAGGAGGTAACACTTTGAAACTCATTCTGTTAGGCCAGTATTATCCTGATACCAAAAGCCAACAAAAACAGATCAATAAAAAGGAAAGTAGGGGCCAATATAGATGGAAAATATTGATGCAAAAAATTGTCAACAAAATACTAGCAAACAGAATTCAACAATACATTAGAAAAAATATTCATCATGATCAAGAGGGATTTATTTCTGGAATGTCAGGATAGTTCAACATATGCAAATTAATCAATGTGATACATCATATCAACAGAATGAAGAATAAAATCCATATGATCATTTCAATTGATGCTGAAAAAGCAAAAGCATTTGATGAAATTAAACATCCTTTCATGATAAAAACCCTAAAACAACTGGGGATAGAGGGAACGTATCTCAACATATTAATAGCCATATACAATGGACTCAGAACTATTATCATACTGAGTGCTGAAAAACTGCAAGCTTTTTCTCTAGTATCTGGAACACGAAAAGTTTACCTGCTGTCATCACTTTTATTAAACATAACACTTAAAGTCCTAGATAGACCAGTCAGACAAGTAAAAGATGTAAAGGTCACCCAAAATGGAAAGGATGACATCAAATTATCCTTTTTTGTGCATGATACTATCATATACTTGGAAAAACCTAAAGGATCCACAAGAAATCTACTAGAACTGATCAACAAATTCAGTAAACTTGCAGGATAAAAAATCAACATACAAAAATCAGTAGCATTCCATATGTCAACAGTGTGAAGAATCTGAAAAAGAAATTAAAAAGTTATCCCATTTACAATAGCCACACATAAAATAAAATACCTAGGAAACACTTAACCAAGGAAGTGAAAGATATATAAGGAAAATTATAAAACACTGATGAAAGAAATTAAAGAGGACACACACTCCCACAAATTCCATGTTCATAGATTGAAAAAATCAATAATGTTAAAATGTCCATACTACCCAAAGCAATCTATAGATTCAATGCAGTCTCTATCAAAATACCAATTACATTATTCACAGAAATAGAAAAACAAATTGAAAATTAATGTGGAACCACTACAGACCCTGAATAGCCAAAGCTATACTAAGCAAAAAGAACAAAACTGGAGGAATCACATTACCTGACTTCAAATTATACTGCAAAGCTATAGTAACCAAAACAGCATGTTACTGGTGTAAAAACAGACACATAGACCAATGAAATGGAATAGAGAATGAGGTAACAAGTCCACACACCTACAGTGAACTCATTTTAGACAAAGATGCCACAAACACACACTGGGGAAAAGACAGTCTCCTAAGTAAGTGGTGCTGGGAAACCTGGATATCTATGTTCAGGAGACTAAAACTAGACCCTCATATCTCACCATATTAAAAAAAATCAAAGCAACATGGATTAAACATTTAAATCTAAGACCTTAAACTATGAAACTACTACAAGAAAACATTGGGTAAAATCTCCAGGACATTGGTCTGAGCGAAAATTTCTTGAGCAATATCTCCACAAGCACAGGCAACCAAAAGAAGAAGAAGAAGGAGAAGGAGAAGGAGAAGGAGAGGAAGAGGAAGAGGAAGAGGAGGAAGAGGAGGAAGAGGAAGAGGAAGAAAAATAAGATTATTTCAAGTTAAAAAGCTGCATAGCAAAGGACACAACCCACAGAATGGGAGAGAATATTTGCAAACTACTCATTTGACAAGAGATTAATAAGTAGAATTTATAATTTGATCAAAAAATGAGCAAAAGATTTGAAAAAAACATTTGTTAAAAAAAGACAAGAAACAGTTATATGAGAAGGTGCTCAACATCATTGATCATCAGAGAAATGCAAATCAAAACTACAATGAGATATTATCTCATCTTAGTTAAAACAACATATTCAAAAGACAGTCAATAACAAATGCTGGTGGGGATGTGGAGAAAAGGGAATCCTTGTACGCTGTTGGTGGGAATGTACATTATTACAACCACTATGTAGAACAATTTGGATGTTCCTCAATCAACTAAAAATTGAGCTACCATATGACCCAGCAATTCCACTGATGGTAGTATATACAGAAAAGAAAGGAAATCAGTATATTGAAGAGCTATCTGCAATCCTATGTTTGTCACAACAGTGTTTACAATAGCTAAGATTTGGAAGCAACCTAAGTTTCCATCAACAAATAAGTGGCTAAAGAAAATTTGGTACTTATACACAATGAAGTACTATTCAGCCATTAGAAAAATGAGATATTGTCATTTGCAACCACATGGATGGAACTGGAGATCATTATGTTAAGTGAAATAAGCCAGGCACAGAAACACAAACATTGCATGTTCTCACTTATTTGTGGGTTCTAAAAATCAAAACAATTGAACTCATGGACATAGAGAGTAGAAAGATGGTTATTAGAGACTGCCAAGAGTGGTGGGAAGGTGGGTGGGAAGGGAGGAATGGTTAATGAGTACAAAAAAATAGTTATACACAATGAATAAGGCCTACTGTTTGCTGGGCATGGTGGCTCACGCCTGTAATCCCAGCACTTTGGGAGGCTGAGGCAGGTGGATCACCTGAGGTCGGGAGTTCAAGAACAGCCTGATGAACATGGAGAAACCCCGTCTCTACTAAAAATACAAAAAAAAAAAAATTAGCCGGGCATGGTGGCACATGCCTGTAATCCCAGCTACGTGGGAGGCTGAGGCAGAAGAATCACTTAAACCCAGGAGGCGGAGGTTGCGGTGAGCCAAGATAGTGCCATTGCACTCCAGCCTGAGCAACAAGAGCGAAACTCCTTCTAAAAAAAAAAAAAAAAAAGACCTACTATTTGATGGCACAACAGGGTGACTATACACAATAATAACTTAATTGTATATTTTAAAATAACATAAAGAGTGTAATTGGATTGTTTGTAACTCAAAGGATAAATGCTTGAGGGAATGGACACCCTATTCGCCATTATGTGCTTACTTTATATTGCATGCCTGTAGCAAAATATCTCATGTACCCCATAAATATATACACCTACTATGTACCCACAAACATAAAAAATAAAATCAGCCAAACCCCCCCAGAAAACGATATAATCCTGATGAAAAAAATCAAAGAAACCCCTGAAGAAATGAAAGACATCCTGTACTTATAGATTGGAAGACTTAATATTTTTTAATGTTTGTACTGTAAGTGATTTACAGATTCAATACTATCCCTATCAAAATTACAATGACATTTGTTACAATCTCAGAAGAAAACCTTAAATTTATGAGGGACTACAAAAGATATCAGACATTTAAAGCAATCTTTAGAATGAACAACAAAGCTGGAAGAGTCATACTTCTGGATTTCAAAATATATTACAAAGGGATAGTAATTAAAACACTATGTTACTGGCATAAAAGCATATATATAAACCAAAGGAACAGAATAGAATGTTCAAAAATAAGCCATTACATAAAAGGTCAACTGATTTCGATGAGGGTGCCAAGAATACATAATGAGAAAAAGATAGTTCCTGCAAAAAATGATGCTGAAAAAACTGCCTGGCTTATTTCACTTAATGTCTTCCAGGCTTGTCCAGGAAACATGATTTCATTTGTTAAAGGCTGAATAACATTCCATTGTGTATATACACCATATTTTCTTCATTCATCTATTGATGAAGACTTTGGTTGGTTCCATATGTTGACTATAGTAAATGCTGCTGCAATAAACATGAGGCTACAGATATCTCTTCAACATAGTAACTTCTCTTTTTGGATATGTACTCAGTAGAGAGATTACTGAATCATATGGTAATTCTACTTTTAGTTTTTTAAGGAATCCCTATACTGTTTTCCATAATGGCCGTACTAATTTACATTCCCACCAGTGTATTAGAGTTCCCTTTTCTCCCAATCCTCACCAACATTTGTTATTCTCAGCCTTTTTTATAAAAACCATTCTATCTAATATCTTATAGTGGTTTTGATTTGCATTTCCCTGATTAGTTTCCCAACATTAGTGATGTTAAACATTTTTTCATATACGTGATTTGTCATTTGTATGTCTTATTTTGAGAAATGTCTATTCAGATTATTAGCCAATTTTTAAATGAATAATTGTAACTTTTTACTCGTATAAATTTAAGGAGTACAAGTACAGTTTTTTTAACAAGGATATATTGTGTAGTGATGATGTCTGGGCTTTTAGTGTAACAATCAGGTGAATAGTTGACATTGTACTCATTATGTAATTTCTTACATCCATTTTTTTAGTCAGATTATTTGTTGTTTTCTGTTGAGTTGTTTGGCTCCTTGTATATTCTGGATATCAATCCCTTGTCAGACAAATAGTTTGTAAAAATGTTCTCCCACTTTGCAGATTGTGTCTTCACTCTATGGTTGCCTTTTCTGTGTAGAAGCTTTTTAGTCTGATATAATCCTATTTGTCTATTTTTGTTTGTGTTGTCTGTGCTTTTAAGGACTTATTAATTTAACATTTTTAAATTTGTATGCAAACATATTAGGTGGGATATTTACAGGGTATATGAGATATTTTGATAAAGGCATACAAAGTCTAATAATTACACTGGAATAAATGGGGTATTAATCTCAAACATTTATCAATTATGTGTGTTAACAACATTCCAAATATACTCTTTAAGTTATTTTAAAATGTACAATGAGTTGTTATTTACTGCAGTCACCCCGTTGTGCTACTAATTACTGGATATTAACTCTATGAAACTATATTTTTGTGCCCATTAACCATCCAAACTTCCCCCCCCACCCCCACTATCCTTGCCAGCCCGTAGTAGCCATCATTCTCCTCTCTACCTTCATGAGATCAACTGTTTTAAGTTATAGCTTCTACAAATGAGTGTGAACACGTGCTGTTTGTTTTACTATGCCTGGCTTAATTCACTTAACATAGTTACCTCCACTTCTGTCCATGTGTTTGCAAATGACAGGATCTCATTTATTTTTATGGCTGAATAGTATTCCATTATGTATAAGTACTGCATTTTCTTTATCCAGTCATCTGTTGATGGACACTTACATGGATTTCAAATCTTGGCTATTGTGAACAGTGATGCCATAAACATGGAAGTACAGATATCTCTTCGATGTACTGATTTCCTGTCTTTTGAGTGTATACCTAGAAGTAGGATTGCTGGATAATATGATAATTCTATTTTTAGTTTTTCTAGAGACAGCCATACTGTGCTTCATAGTGACTTACTAATTTACATTCCCACCAACAGTGTACAAGGGCCCCCTTTTCTCCACATCCTCACCAGCACTGTTATTGCCTGCCTTTTGGATAAAAGCCATTTTAACTGAGGTTACATGTCTCATTGTAGTTTTGATTTACATTTCTCAAATGATCAATGATTTTGACGTTACATGTCTCATTGTAGTTTTGATTTACATTTCTCAAATGATCAATGATTTTGAGCACTTTTTCACATACCCCTCTGCCCTTTGTATGTTTTCTTTTGAGAAATGTCTATTCAGTTCTTTTGCCTATTTTAAAATCAGATTGTTAGATTTATTTCCTGTTGAATTGTTTGAGCATCTTACATATTCTGGTTATTAATTCCTTACCATATGAATAGTTTGCAAATATTTTATCCCATTCTGTGGGTTGTATCTTCACTTTTTTGATTGTTTCATTTGCTGTGCAAGAGCCTTTTAACTTGATGGGATCCCACTTGCCTATTCTTAAAGAATGGTATGGCTAGATACAGACTTCTTGTTTGATGTTTTATATTCTTTCAGCATTTTACACATGTCATTCCGCTGTCATTTGTTCTCCATTTTTTCTGATGTAAAACCTGCTGTTAATCTTATTGATGAATACTTGTATGTGATAAATATTGCCTCTCTTGATGCTGTCAAGATCCCCCCTTTCTCTTTACTTTTCAACATTTTGATTATAAAATGTTTCATTGTGGATATCTTTGAGATTGTCCTACTTGGAGTTCATTATACTTCTTGTATGTGTAGATTCAGATCTCTGAAAGTGTCTAGTGAATATTTCTTCTAATATTCTTTCTGTCCTTTGCCCTATTTTTCTTCCTTCTAGGACTTCTACTGTGTGTATGTTGACATGCTTGATGTTGTCAAACAGGTTTCTTAGACTCTGTTTACTTTTTTCATTATTTTTTACTTTCTGCTCTCAAACTAGATATCATTTGAATTACATTCAAGTTGGTTGATTATTCTACTTGTTTATATTTACTGTTGAACTAGTCTAGTATATTTTTAAAATTGTAGTTATTGTACTTTTCAGTTGTAGAATTTTATCAGAATTTCTTTGGGTCTTTTTTATAAGTTTTATCTCTTTTGCTGTATTTTCTACTTGGTAAGGCATCATTCATCTAGTTTCTTTTAGGCTTTGTTCATGAGTTTCTTTAGATATTTGAATATTTTGACACATAATTTAATGTCATTGTCTGGTGAGTCCAATGTGTAGGCTTCCTTAGAGACAGTTTCTATTGATGATCTTTCAAGGAGCCACCAGAGAGGTCCATGTCCACAACTGTAGTTCTCCAAAATTAATGTTCACATTGCTCCCTGTATCACCAGCAATACCTAACATAAATGTGGGCTACGATCTTCACAGCCATCACCTTGCTAGAAAGGGTGGGATTATTTGGAAATAATCTAAATTATTTTTGTTTCATAAAATGATATCACAAGGCATATGAATTATGCATGAATTCATTTTATACAGGCAACACTTGGCTTTGATATACCTCACCTGTTCAATGATTATGGAACTAAAATGCCTATTAAGTGAATTGCTTTTTAATTCTCTGACACCAAAAGAATAGTAGAGTATTGAAGGCCATATTTAATTAGTCTTTATATGGGACTGAAAACAATTGTATTTGATAGTTTTATGTGGTCTGATTCATTCTGGGTTCTCACAGACAGAATGGCTCTGTTCAAGCAGTTAAATAAACTTTGCCAGCTTCAATTCTTTACATTACATCCAGTATAATATAAATGTATGCATGCTGTTTTTATAATATAAATGTATGCATCCTGTTTCATAGGTTTTATTTATATATTAGTAGGGAATTTAATTTCAATCTTTCTACTATATATTGACATTCAATGGCCTCAGAGTGAAGATGAATTTGAGTTCTAATTCCTATACGGTTTCAAGGTACCTGTGAATGATCCAGTTAAACAACTACTATGCTGAATCACAAACTTTTTGCATTGATTCACTTCATCTGCCCTCATGTGTTAAACTGCAGTGTGTAGTTTCACACTTTATTTCTGCTCACTCATGTTTTCCTATGTCTTTCCTAAATCCCTTCTAACAAAACCAACTAGAACAGGGCCTGCCTTTTGTCTTGCCACTTTTACTATGGGTTTTCACACATTGATCTGCGTGATCTCCAATCTCCATCCCCCATCTTGTCCCACAAACTACATATTGCTGTTGCAATACAGATCCACTAGAATTCAGAGATGACTCCTGAAGAATACTGTATCTTGGATCTCTAACTACATTAAAATCATAAGATTTTTCTATTATTTTGTGGATTTTTTCATATTGTATTTCAAAATCACCATTAAAATCTCTTTTGTCTCACCAAAGTTGATCTTGTTTGTTCTATGCTAAAGAAATTGCCAGTAGTTTTCTAGGAATATCTGGGACTAAATGTTTTTCTTCAAAAGGAAGAGAAGGGAACTGGCTTCAACAATGTCATAATATTAGGTCAAGCTTTGTTCCAGGGGGTAGTAAAAGGCTATCACTCATTTTTCCTCCTCTACCCTTCTCTCTTTTTTTTTTTTTATTATACTTTAAGTTTTAGGGTACACGTGCACAACGTGCAGGTTTGTTACATATGTATACATGTGCCATGTTGGTGTGCTGCACCCATTAACTCGTCATTTACCATTAGGTATATCTCCTAATGCTATCCCTGCCCCCTCCCCCAACCCCACAACAGGCCCTGGTGTGTGATGTTCCCCTTCCTGTGTCCATTGTGCTCCTCATTAGGTGATACTTAGTGCTAAACTCATTTCCGTTTCCACGGTAAGAAAGTTCCAAACCTTCTTTATAACTGTTGATTTGAAGAGATTCATTTGAGTATTTCTGCTTATACATTCTGACAATCTACCATGCACAGTATGTGTACACATTCTTCATGATCTGTGGAGTGGAACTCAAACCAGCCCACCTCAACTTAGTTCATCCTGTGTTCTTTATTGAAAAATGCCATTAGTTGAAGAGTAAATTATAAATTACATTGCTTTCTATATTCTTAAGTTGTCTCATTCATTATCTTATGTGAAGTGAATGAGCATAATGTCACTAATTATGTAGTCATACATTCCCCAATTTATTTTTGGAGGATAGAAATGTTCATTTTTCACCAGATCATTTCAGATATATTTTTCAATTTTTACATTACTTGGCCATTTGAGTAATAATTTCCCAATGAAAAATGAGTGCCCTTTGAATAATATAGTGTCAATTCATACTTGTTTCTATGTCTACTATATTAGAAATTAGAAAAAAATTCAAATTAGTACCCAATTAGATTGCTGGTGAATAATAGCTAATTATAATATAATAATGCGAGCTAATAATACTAAATATAAATATAAACTTTAATGCATATGACATAGTTTGGATGTTGTCCCCACCCAAATTTCATGTTCAAATTTAATTCTCCAATGTTGGAGGTGGGGCCTGTTGGGAGGTGATTGGATCATGGAGGCAGATTTCTCATGAATGGTTTAGTACCATCTTCTGGATACCTTTTTCATGACAGTGAGTGAATTCTCATGAGATCTGGTTATTTAAAAGTGTGTGGCATCTCCCCCTCTTACTCTTGCTCCTGCTCTGGCCATGTGACATGTCTGCTCCCACTTCACCTTCCACCATAAATAAGTTTCCCGAAGTCTCCCCAGAAGCAGACCAGATGCCAGCATTATACTTCCTGTATAGCCTGTAGAACTGTGAGACAATTAAACCTCTTTTCTTTATAAATGACATAGTGTCAGATAATTTTTTATAGCAAAGTGAGAATGGACTAATAGAACATGCAATGTTTCCTTTCCATGTTCATATATAATGCTGTAAAACTAAGTATGCTGGTTATTCGTAAATGTATGAATTTTATTTTGTTCTCTTATTTTAACTACATGGGATATCGTATTTTACAACATAAAACCATTGTGAAGGACTGTGTGTATTCCTTGTGTATTCCTTTCATTTTGAGCAGACATTCAGTAAATATTTATTATATGGATGAATGAATTTCTACATTTTGTTTAGGAAATCACTCAGTTAGCAAAAGACTGGATAATCTTCAGTAAATAAAATACATAAGTCTATCTGAAGAAAGTTTAGGAATTAAATTGTACAAGAGTTGCAGGGGGTAGCTGACCTCCAAATACAGTATGGATACATTACCAGTTCCTTTCTAACTGAGCTAAAACATGATTACAGGGAGGCAGGGCAGAACCCAGGGGTCTCGACGTTTTGCTTCTTTCCATAGGTTTTTGCAACTATCACTTCTAGTATATATGTAAGAAAATTTGAACACAAACAGTCTCTTGGGCAACCATCCAAATTCTGGGATATCGCAAAGGATATGGCATATGCCAGGCGTTATAAACATCCAGATCCTGACAAGATTTAATATATGATTTATCATTATCAGTTTGCATTTAATCTTTAAATAATCAAGAAAAAAGACAATTAAGACAAGATGATCTAGAAAGAGATTGGTTTTGTTTAGTAATTAAGACCCTGGCTTTCTAGAGAAAGACTACCTAGATTGAAATGCTGTTTGTTTAGCAGCTTTGATTTTTATTATTATTTTTAAATTGATACATAATAATTGGACACGTGTATCCACAGTTTACATAATCATTCTGCACAGCCTGTTTACTCATCAGTGAAATTAGTATAATAGAGCTTTTGAGAGGATTAAATGAGTTACTTTATATGGACTGCTTTGTACCTGTCGCATAGTAAGTGATCACTCACTGTTAAGTGTGATTATTATTGATACTGACACTGTAGCTAGAATTTATTCCAGAACAGAAAGATTGTATTAACATAAAAATTGAAATTATCATACCTGCTTCTAACCCTTCTTTGATAAAAACAATAATGAAAACATGGTTTGTCTAGGTCTCTGCTTATATTTCTAGGTGGCACAGGTATTAATACCACTTTAAAGTGGTTTTCTGGTACAAAACCACTTTAAAGGTCCCACGACATACAGGTCTTAAACTTTATTTCTCTTGAGTTTGTTTCCAATATTCAGAAAGTTATTCTAATTGCAATTCAGTGAGATAAATAAATTATGATAAGTTTTAGGCATATCGAGTTAGGTACATATGGAAAGGCTATTAGATAGTGGTTACTTCAAAGCGAAAGCATTCCTTTTTGATTCATATTTGTTTTTCTGCGTGTAGAAACTAAGGGCTATACTAGGTGGTAAACATTGTTTCTTGGGAATCCAACTTTAAGACTGGCTATAGAAAGCGGTAGTCTGTGCACCTGTGTTGTTATGCATCATATATCAGGACAGTGCCTTGTACATAGTGAGTCTTCAATAAATATTTGCTAAATTGAATAAATCAGTATTGTCATATTACCTTCTAATAGTATTTAGAAAGTGTCATGTTCTAGTAATTGGATATTTGGTGCAGAGAGATCATCTCAATGACGAGAGCACTAACTTTATAATGCTTTTCCAGTGCAGAAAAAAAGCAGTGTTTTTTTTTTTTAATTCAAATTTGTTCTTGTTTCACTAATTGGTCTTAGGTGATAGAATAATATAGGAATAGAATTATTACTATTTCTATTCTGTTTTGAAAAGTAAAAACATATTGTGTTAAATTCATACCCTAGCCTAGTAGGAATATTAATTGAATATGCATTTGGAGATTATTTGTAATGAGTATATAAAATTTCAACCTATTATTCTCTGCTTATACTAGGGTTATATTTTGGTATGTAAAATTAATGTTTCTAATATATTTTAAAATTATGTCTTCTCTGTATGTGGTATTTCCCTTTGTTCTTTATTAATTTGCTTGATACACTCTTTTAAACAGTATCAATCTACCACCTGTTTGAAGTATTACAATTTCTGTATTAGAGAATTCCAAATTAATGAGGTTTGACAGGATTATTATTATAGTTAATGTGAATAGAGATATAAATATAGGATATACTGATACTTTGACATTTAATTTTGGTACAAACAAATGGTCATAGGTCTTTTTAGAGCCACCATGAATACATGAATTAACTAAAGCAATCCAACAATTTAGCAGCAAGAGAATACAGTTTTATTATCTACTTCCTGAAATGCCATCATATTTAATTTTTACAAAATAATTAGGGGAAAATTTACCAATCTAGGAAAGAGATAGAACTCAATAAAATCTCTAGGCATATTGGCAAGAAAATAATAGATTTTTTGAGAACTGTTTAAACTCTCAGCTTAGCTTTTGACCAAGTCAAATAAGTGGGGACAAAATTTAAATTTTCCCTGTTATAAGGATGTTAAAAAAATCTATGACCCTAACATAACAGATTCTGGTTGTTTTATTTTAGTATTTTTTCCATCAGAAGACTAGAAAAAATGCTAGATTTTTGTATACCTCTCTGTCGAATAGTAGTGAGTCCTGAAATATTTTATGCAATGGAAAATTAAAACTTCCAATATACACATGCGTAGTGCAACATTTTGTAACCTTATGTGAGATCCAGAAATAATAACCATAGGAAAAAAAATTCAAACATATTTAGTCATTATGTGTTTACATAACATAATTTGTTGTATAAGTTATCAAAATTAATATATTTTATTTTATATATAATATATAATAATATAGCAACATTCTTCTTTTGCATTGGTTCCTCTTGAGCACATGCTCAGACTTTTGACTACATGACTTGTCTTTCCATAAATATGTGTCTACTTCTTCTCATTTACCTGCCTAGAGAGTTGGCTCTTTGCTTTCTGAGACTTCCACTTCATCTGTTCTCCTTAAGTCCCCACTGCCAGACTGCAAGCTGATATGTTGCATTCCTTAATTATTCTACATATCAAATCTACAAATACTATGAAAGAAATAAAACATTTCTTAGATGCGTTAAACTCAGCCTAGAAAGTATATTTTGCTTTTTAGATTCAAATTTAATCCAGCTTTGAGAACAGAAATAACCTATTATTATGCTTCTTCAAAAACATATGTACTGTATATGAATTACTTTTAGGTCTATTCATACAACAATGTTTCTGAAAAATACCACTTGTGTTCCTTTTCTACATTCATAGACCCTAAATATTTTAAACATCTGAAGTACACATATAATCAAATTTACTTTATCCTATAAATGGTTTAGGAATCAGAAAAAAATAGGTAGCAAAAAAAAAAAGAAAAAAACAGCGATATGATTATTAGAGATTACCAAACACAGGCTTGGAGGATTGTACCACCTGTGCTGCTTTGAATGAGCATTTTTAGATCACTGAGAGGGTGTGATTATTTTAGTTCACCACTACTACCTCTCTCACTCTTCCATCCATGGCTCTACTTTGGATTTGGTGATAGCAGCATTCGGTGAAAAACAAACCAAGAAAACTGTATGTGGCCTAAGTGTTCAAATAAACCATAAATGGAAATTGCAATAAAGCCATTCAATTACATTAGATTAGGAGGAATCCCATTATTCTGCTTTTGTTTCTTCTTGTATTTTCTATTTTTCAAATACGTTTCAATTACTTGATACAGAAGTGATATAGTTTGGATATTTGTACTTACTCAGATGTCATGTTGAGATGGAATCCTCAGTGCTGGAGATGGGGCCTAGTGGGAAGTGTTTGGATCGTGGGGGCAGATCTTCATGAATGGCTTGAGCCATTCCTTTGGTGATAGGAGAGCTCTTGCTCTGAGTTCACAGATCCGGTCATTTAAAAGTGTGTAGCACCAGCCGGGGAGGTGGCTCACACCTGTAATCCCACCACTTTGGGAGGCCGAGGTGGGCGGATCACGAGGTCAGATTGAGACCATCCTGGCTAACATGGCGAAACCCCGTCTCTACTAAAAATACAAAAAAATTAGCCGGGCGTGGTGGCGGGCACCTGTAGTCCCAGCTATCAGGAGGCTGAGGCAGGAGAATGGCGTGAACCCGGGAGGCGGAGCTTGCAGTGAGCTGAGATGGCGCCACTGCACTCCAGCCTGGGCGACAGAACGAGACTTCGTCTCACAAAAAAAAAAAAAAAAAAAATAGTGCGTAGCACCTCCCCGACAACTCTTTCTCTCTCTTGCTCCTGCTTTTGCCATGTCAAGTGCCTGCTTCCGCTTTACCTTCCACCATGATTTTAAGTTTTCGGAGACCTCCACGGAAGCTGATGCCAGAGCTATGACAGCCTGTAGAAACATAAGCCAATTAAACATTTTTTTCTTTATAAATTACTCAGCCTCGGGTATTTCTTTATAGAAATGCATGAATAGCCTAACACAAGAAGTCTAAAAAATATAAATTAAATCAACAGACTTCACCACTAATCTGGAAATATTATTTCAGTGAGAAATACTGTTTATTTTCGTGTATCTTCACGAAGATTTGATAGTGAAGAACACAGTTTTTATTTTTTCATTAAAGATATCCATAGAAAAGCATCCAACGTTTCAGTTAGATAGGAGAAACAAGTTATAGTGGTAAGAAACGTCTATTCCTTGCTTTTTGATGTGGTTGGCTCTGTGTCCTCACCCTAATCTCATCTTGTGGCTCCATAATACTAGGGAATGTATCCAAGTCGCAGCACCGAAGTATGTTACCAGCAGCGAATCCATACAGGTCTACAGCAACTTGGTTCTTGACTCCTTGGAGGAAATAATTTGGCCAAGAAGCAAACGTAGATATAAGGCAGAGAGAGAGACTAAGGCAAGTTTTAGGGCAGGAGTGAGTTTATGTAAAAGTTTTAGAACCAGAACAAAAGAAAGTAAAGTACCCTTGGAAGAGGGCCAGATGAGTGAGTTACTTGAGAGATCCAAGTGTCCTGTCCAACTCTTGACTTGGGGTTTCATACATTGGCATGGTTCCGGAGTTTGCATTTCTTCTCCCCAGATTCTTTCCTTAAAGCAGGTTGCCCACATGCATGGTGGCCTGCCAGCATGAGGGGCCACGTGCAGGGTGTTTACTGAAGTTGTGTGCATGCTCACCTGAAATGCTTTTCCCTTACCAGTGGACTGTTCCTAGAGGAAGGTCATATGCTGGTTAAACTACCATTTTGTCTCTTAGTGTGCATGCTTGAGCCTGCTCACCCAAGCCCTGAGATCTTATGAAGAATCTGCTGATAACAAGCTTCAGTTGTTTCCTATTAATGGAAGACTGCCTTACCCTGGCACAGGCTGTGATCATTTATTATTTTAGAGAGAGTTTAACGACTAACTGACCATCACCTGATGGTCGTCAGACATTCCTCAGGGGAGGGATCCTCTCCTGGCCTCATGTGCCTGGCTACCTACTCTAAAAATATCCTAAATATTAAAAACATATATGCTTTCATAGCAGTTCATATGCTTTGGATTTTATGGGAGAATTGTAGGCTTTTGCTTTATGTTATTCTTATAGAGCCGTGTGCTGCCTAACATTTTAGTCAACTACATACTGAGTATACCATGGTAGTCCCATGAAACCTGAACAATTCCTATTGTTTAGTGACATCTTAATAATCTTGACTCAGTTTAGATCTAGGCTAATATATGTTTTCATGTCTTCGTTTTTAACAAAAAAAGTCTAAAAAGCAAAATTAATAAATAAAATTAAAAATTATTAAAAATAGAAAAAATGTTTATAAAATATGGACATAAAGACAAAATATTTTTGTGCAGCTGTGCAATGTTTGTGTTTTGAGTCAAAAAATTAAAAAATTACAGAGAAAATTAAAAATCAACATAAAAATTATCTTTCTTCAGTAATAAATTAGCTTACTGTAACTAAATAAGCTAAGTTACAGTAAGCTAAGTCTAATTTATTATTAAAGATAAATTTTAAAATAAATTTCACTACTTATAAAGTCCACAGTAGTGTACAGTAATGTTCAGTAATGTTGTAGTCTGCCACATTTACACAACACTGACTCACTCATTCACCCACCCAGAGCGACTTTTAATCCTGCAAACTCCATTCACAGTAAATGTCCAATATTGGTATACCATTTTTTTATATTTTGTACTGTATTTTCCTGTACTTTTTTATGTTTAGATATGTTTAGCCAGACAAATCCTGTTGTGTTACCATTGTCTACAGTATTAAAAGTACAGTAACATGTTGTACAGGTTTGTAGCTGAGGAGCAATAGGCTGTACTGTATAGCCTAGGTGTGTAGTAGGTTATATCATGTAGGCTTGTGTAAATACATTCTATGATGTTTGCACAAGAAAATTGCCTATTGATGCGTTTTTCAGAAGGTATCCCTCTTGTTAAACAACTTGTGTCTGTATATATAGTGTATCTTTGTATGTTTGTCTCTATACATGCATGTGTGTATATAAAAATGAAAGCAGGTTCTAGAGGTCTAATAACTTGAATCCTGTCTGCTGTTACCTCATTTGGCATAGTATTTAGCTTGCTTTTAGATTTCTGGGCAGATATCTTTTTAGAATCATAAGAATATGTAAGGTGCCCTGACACTTAAAATTCTTACACACATGTGAAGAAAATCTCACATTTTATTATTAAAATTGTCTTTTAAATCATAAAGAATGGGCATATTTTAAAATTGGGAGTTAGTAGTCAAGACAGTGTCTGTAAGATGAGGTTCAAGAGGCTAGAGGAGCAACAGAGCAGGGAATTATGGGGCAGAAGGCAAACTTCAGAAGACAAATAAACAGTAGCACCAGTAATAATTTAATTGAGACTACCTCTGTGTAACAAACAGTGAAGGATAATACATAAATCTTAGCATTTGCATGCGTTTTAACTGAATTTTTGTTAAAGATATGACATATCAGTTATTTCAAGAAAATAAGTGTGTAAGAACTTGGGAGGCAAGCATAACATCAAAATTCTTAAAGAATACAGAAAAGATAAATTAAGGGTCTGAAACCCACTGTAAAATTGAAGATTGTATAGAATTACACCACAATTTTAATTAGCATGTTTTTACCTACAGGAATGTTGATAAATACTAAATAAAATTCTGCTGCTGTCGTTAGTATTTTTAGTGGTGCCATGTAATACTATTAGGAGAATGGGGGATTTAATAATTAAGCAGAATTTGTCCTAATCTATGTAATAGTTTTTCATCATCAAACAACAAATATTTATTTATTTTTATTTTTTAAAATTTACACACTATAATTGTATATAGTTATGAAGTACAATTTGATGTTTAAATACATATATGTTATATAATGATCAAATCATGATATTTATATGCATCATTATTATGCATGATATTTATATGCATCATACATATAAATAAATATATGTATTTATTTCTTTGTGCTGAGCATTCAAAAGCTTCTTTTCCAGCTATCTGCTAATATACAGTACTTTACAGTTAACCACACTCACTCTACTGTGCAATGAAATATCAGAATTCATTCCTCCAATCTAATTGTCACATTGTACCTTTTAACCACCCTCTCTCCACCCTCCCTTTCCCCACTGCTTCCCAGTCTCTAGTAACCACTGTTCCACTCCCCGCTTCTATGATATCAACTCTTTTGTTTCTTAATTCCACGTATTAGTGAGATCATGTGGTATTTGTCTTTCAGTGTCTAACATTTTATTTAACATAATGTTCTCTAGGTCGATCCTTGTTTCATAAGCGGCAGGATTTTAATCCTTTTTATGGCTAAATAGTATTTAATTGTGTATATATACTACATTTTTTATTTATTCATTAATTGTTGGACACTTGAGTTTATTCCATATCTTGTCTGCTCTAACTAGTGCAGCAATAGTGAAGGAAGTGCAGACATCTTTTTGACATACTGATGTTATTTTCTTTGCATGTATACCCAGTAGTGGGATTGAAAGATCCTATGGTATCTATCAGTCACATAGGTATTCATATGGTAGTACTATTTGTATTTTTTTGAGAAATCTACATGCTGTTTTCCATAGTAGCTGTACTAATTTATAATCATGCCAACAGTGTGTTCACTTTTCTCAACAAACTCACCAAGACTTTTCTTTTTTTCTTTTTTTTCTTCTTTTTTTTGTTAACAGTTATTCCAGCTGGCGTGAGATAGTATCTCAACGTGGTTTTGATTAGTGTTTCCTTGATAATTAGTGATATTAAACATTTTTATATACCAGTTGGCCATTTATATGTCCATTTTTGTGACATGACTATTAAAGTATTTTGACCATTTTTAATCAGGTTATTTGGTTTATGGTGAGTTGTTTAAATTCTTTATATATTCTAGGTATTAACCCCTTGTCAGCTGTATAGCTTGGAAATATTTTCTCACAATTTGAACATTATCTTTTCATTTTGTTAATTGTTTCCTTTGCTATAAAAAAACTTTTCAGTTTGATGTAGTTCATTTTGTTTCTTTTTGTTTTTGTTGCCTGTGCTTTTGAGGTCTTATTTAAACACTCCTTGCCCCTCCCAATGTCACAGAGCATTTGCACTATGTTCTCTTCTAGTATTTTAATACTTTTGAGTGTTATATGCATGTTTTTAATCTATTTTGAGTTGATTTTTGTATATGGTGAGAGGCAGGATTCTAGTCTCATTCTCCTGCAGCTGGATATCCAATTTTCCCAACACCATTTATTGAAGAAATTTTTCCCAGTGTGTGTTGTTGAAACTTTTATTGAAAACCACTTGACTATAGATGTGTGAATTTATTTCTGGGCTCTTTGTTCTGTTCCGTTATTCCTTGTGCCTGTTTTAATACCAATATCATACTTTGTTGATTACTATAGTCTTGTAATATACTTTGAAGTTAGGTAGCATGATGGCTCCAACCTCATTTTTTTCGCTCAGGATTCCTTTGGCTATTCAAGATATTTTGTGGTTCCATATGAATTTTAGGATTTGTTTTTGTATTCCTGTGAGGAATGTCATTTGTATTTTCATTGGTATTGCATTAAATCTGTAGATTGCATTGGGTAGTATGGCCATTTGAGAAAATTAATTCTTTCAATCTGTTAACATGGGATATCTTTCCATTTTTTCATGTCTCTGTTTTCTTTATTACTCTCTTATAGTTCTTATTTGTTAAGGTTATTTCTAGGTATTTTATTTTTATATATATTTAAATTGAATTGTTTTCTTGATTTATTTTTGAGATAGCTTGCTGTTAGCATGTAGATACACTACTGATTTTTGTTACGTTGACTTTTTATACCATGACTTTATTTGTTTATTACTTCTAACAGATT
This sequence comes from Homo sapiens, assembly GCF_000001405.40. NCBI lineage: Eukaryota > Metazoa > Chordata > Mammalia > Primates > Hominidae > Homo > Homo sapiens. The sequence continues at coordinate 87,605,625 of NC_000023.11, forward strand.
TTTGTGTAGTCTTTAGAGTTTTCTATATATAAGATAATGCCATCTGCAAATAGATACAATTTGGCTTCCTCCTTTCCAATTTGATGCCTTTCATTTTTCTCTTTTGCCTAATTGGTCTGGCTAGGTCTTCCAGTGCTATGTGGAAGTGGTAACAGTGGTCATCTATGTCCTATTCCTAATCTTAGATAAAAAGCTTTTAGTTTTTCCCAATTCACTAGTTTGCATGTTAGCTTTGGGTTTGTAATATATGGCCTTTATTGTACTGAGGTACATACAGTCTATGTCTAATTTGTTGAGAGTTTTTTTTTAATCATGAAGCCTTGTTAAATCTTATTAAATACTTTTTCTGTGTCTATTAAGATGATCATATGGTCTTGTTTGTTTTCTTAATGCGGTGTATCAAATATATTAATTTGCATATGGTGAACTCTCCTTGCATCCCTGGGATTAATCCCACTTGATCACAATAGATGATGTCTTTAACGTGCTGTTGAATTTGGTTTGCTTGTATATTGTTGAAAATTTTTCCATCTATGTTCAAGAAACCTATAGTTTTTGTTGTTGTATTCTTGTTTGGTTTTGAAATCAGGGTAATACTGGTATATGAAATGAATTTGAAAGTTTTTTTTTCTCATTTTCTATATTCTGGATTAGTTTGAGGATGATTGGTATTAGTTGTTACTTAAATGTTTGGTAGAATTCAGCAGTGAACAAGCTCAGCCTAAAATTGGTAGAAGAAAAAAACAATGAAGCTAATACTAGAAATAAACAATATACAGACTAAAAGCATTCAAAATATCAATGAAATTAAGAATTGGTTATTTGAAAAACTAAACAAAAATCATTAGCTAAAGAAAAGAGAAAATATGGAAATAAAATCAGAGATGAAAAGGGAGACATTACAACTAGTATCACAGAAATACAAAAAAATTCATAAAAGTGTATTATAAACAAGTATAGGCCAACAAATTTGAGAACATAAAAAATGGATAAATTCCTAGACACATGCACCCTATCAAGATTAAATTATGAATAAATAGAAACTCTAGACAGACAAGTAATGAGTGAGAAAATTAAATCATTAAAAAAAAGTCTTTCATCAATAAAAGACCCAGGTCTTGATTAATGTAGCAAATGTCTTTTGAAAGTCAATTGTTTATCAGCATTATTAATTCTAAAAATGTAGAAACTATTTTCTTTATTTTCAAGAGTTTACATTTGGACAGAGTTTACATTTGCACAGAGATATAAAGAAATAAATACAAGCTAATACATATAAAGCAAAAAATAAAAAGTTTAGAAAACAAATGCTTCTGAAAGTAAGAAATAACACTATTGGCTTAGTTGGCAAATAATGACAATATTTTGAAGACATATCTGAGGACTTACATAAAACATTTCTTAAATCTTCTGTGGATATTATAGATCCTAGAGATGAATAACCTGTTTATACAATTTACGGATTATTCCTCTTCATTTCTTGAGAAGTTTAGTTTCTGGCCTATCATATATATTTTCTGATCTATGCCATCTTTTTTATTCCTGGCAATCTCAGTATCTGTGTAGATGAAACTTAGAGTAGCCTGGCCTCTCAGTTGCTTCACCTCCAGCAATAACATGTTGCACCCTAGCGCAACTCTCAAATCTTGTGGCCACACTCCATCATCTTGTCATTATCAACAATGGCATATGTTCCGTAGCATTGATTTCAAGCAATCAAGTCTCTGGTCACTTCCTCCTACCTTTTCAGTTCATTCCTTCAAAATTATTTTAGCCCTATTGGGTCTGCCAACCCACTAACTTTCACACATACCTAATGTCCTCAGTTCGCTACTTACCCAGCTTACACTCCATGTAGCATAATCAGAATCACATACCTGCATATGCCCTTAAATTCTCTTCTTCCTTTGTGCTTTTCTAGAAAAACAAAAACCTTGGTTAAGTTTAGCTTGCCATGTATTTTGTGCCTGTATCTAATAAGAACTATACTGATAGTCTAATTTTAAACATTACCACAAAAATCAACTGGACCTGTAATGCTACATAGTCCTAATGTAGTTTCCTAGTCAGTTTACCCTTTGACTCTCATAAACGGCTCTTCTTCACCTTCATCTCTTATCCTCAACTTCCAAAACTTGCTCCTCATTCTTTTTATAATCTTTAAATGTAGAAGTCACCAGAGATGACCTCAAACCCCTTTCCTAATAACATGCATTCTTTGGGGTGATATCATTTAGTCCCATGGCCTTAAATGTCATTGTTGGCAATGGCCCCACTTATATGTCAGTTGTTCCCCTTAATGCCAGAGTCACAAATCTAACATTCTCCTCAATTATCTCCCTGGAATTATAATAGGTATCACCAACTTGATATATCCTAACACACTTATGATTACTACACCTATCCTTCCCTATCTCAGTAACCATCTTTACCATTTAGGCAGTTGCTGATGTCAAACCTAGAAATCATCTTTGGTTTATTTCTTTAGCATTCTTTACGTAATCCATCATAAAATCTATTTGGTTCTACTTTTAAAATGTATTCAGAATTTAACAACTCCTAACTACTTCTATCAATACCACCACTTCTATAATCTTGATTACTACAATACACTTGTAATTCTTCTTCCCATTTCCACCCTTGCCTCATAAACGCCAGGAGATTTTAAAGACTTAAATCACATCATGCTACTTCTGTTCAAAATGTGAATTCCCAGTGTTGCTGCATGACCTGGTGTATCACCAGCTCTCTGACCTCACCATTCTCTTCCTTTCACTAGTTCTGCTTTAGCCACACTGGACTGTTGCAGTTCCTTGAACGATGCACTGCACAGTTTCCCTTCTGAAGGGCTTTTTTTTTTCCCCAGGAATTACCTTTACTAGGATTTTATTAGTCCATTTTGCATTTCTATAAAGGAATACCTGATCCGGGGTAAAGAAAAGAGATTTATTTGGTTCATGATTCTGCAGGCTGTACAAGCAGGACACCAGCATCTGCAAGCCTTCTAGTGAGGCCTTGGCAGCTTTTACTCATGGCAGAAGCTGAAAGGGGAACATGCATGTCACATGGCAAGAAAGGGATCAAGCGAGAGGAAGGGTACTAGTATCTTTTTATTTTATTTTATTTTTTAGTGTACCCATGACTTTTTTTATTATACTTTAAGTTTTAGGGTACATGTGCACAACATGCAGGTTTGTTACATATGTATACATGTGCCATGCTGGTGTGCTGTACCCATTAACTCCTCATTTACATTAGGTATTATCTCCCAATGCTATCCCTCCCTGCTCCCCCCACCCCACAACAGGCCCCGGTGTGTGATGTTCCCCTTCCTGTGTCCATGTGTTCTCATTGTTCAATTCCCACCTATGAGTGAGAACATGTGGTGTATGGTTTTTTGTCCTTGCAACAGTTTGCTGAGAATGATGGTTTCCAGCTTCATCCATGTCCCAAAGGACATGAACTTATCCTTTTTTATGGCTGCATAGTATTCCATGGTGTATATGTGCCACATTTCCTTAATCCAGTCTGTCATTGTTGGACATTTGGGTTGGTTCCAAGTCTTTGCTACTGTGAACATTGCCGCAATAAACATATGTGTGCATGTGTCTTTATGGAAGCATGATTTATAATCCTTTGGGTATGTACCCAGTAATGGGATGGCTGGGTCAAATGACATTTCTAGTTCTAGGTCCTTGAGGAATCACCACACTGACTTCCACAATGGTTGAACTAGTTTACAGTCCCACCAACAGTGTAAAAGTGTTCCTATTTCTCCACATCCTCTCCAGCACCTGTTGTTCCCTGACTTTTTAATGATCACCATTCTAACTGGTGTGAGGTGGTATCTCATTGTGGTTTTGATTTGCATTTCTCTGATGGCCAGTGATGATGAGCATTTTTTCATGTGTCTGTTGGCTGCATAAATGTCTTCTTTTGAGAAGTATCTGTTCATATCCTTTGCCCACTTGTTGATGGGGTTTTTTGTTTTTTTTCTTGTAAATTTGTTTGAGTTCATTGTAGATTCTGAATATTAGCCCTTTGTCAGATGAGTAGATTGCAAAAATTTTCTCCCATTCTGTAGGCTGCCTGTTCACTCTGATGGTAGTTTCTTTTGCTGTGCAGAAGCTCTTTAGTTTAATTAGATCCCATTTGTCAATTTTGGCTTGTGTTGCCATTGCTTTTGGTGTTTTAGACATGAAGTCCTTGAAGGGTGCTAGTCTCTTTAAACAACCAGCTCCCACATAAACTAAAAGAGTGAGAACTCACACATTACTCCAAGGACAACATCATGTCATTCATGAGGGATCCACCTCCATGACACAAACAGCTACCACTAGATCCCACCACCACCACTGGGGATCACATTTCAACATGGTATTTGGAGGAGACAAATGTCAAAACTATATCAAGGATATTTACATGGCTTGCTTTCTCAGTTTTCTCAGCTGATTAATCTTATCATAGATGCCTTCCATTACCACTCTACATAAAATGCCACCAGCCTCCCCATCCCAAAGCCTCGACTCTCTTCCCTCACTTTGTTTCTCTTCATAGACCTTAACACTACCTGACATACTTATTTGTTTACATTCTAAGCCCTCCCATGAGACAAAGTGCATGAGAATCAGAGTTTGTTGTGTTTACTGCTATATCTTCACTTCCTAAAATAGTTCTGTTCAGGCACTAAGAAATCAATAAGTAGCTGTGGAATGAATAAATCTCCTGAGATGTTTAAATGCAAAGTTCTATTGAAAGTTAGGACACACACACACATTCAGCAGAAACAATGAGTCTAAATATTAACCATATTGGGTAGTATTTGGGTATCAGGAAGAATATCTGATGGCTTACTTTTTCTACTGACTCCAAATTGTATGTATAGTTTTCTTCTGTCTTCTTAATTTGACATAGACAATAATTCTGTATGTTATTTTCTGAACATTTCTGCATTTAGAATTATCAAAATATAATTATTTAAATTTACATATTAATATATATGATAGTAGAAAAATATCAAAATCATTGCTGAGTTTCTTAAACATTCCATTCCAATAAAACACATAACTGAAAGACATTTAACTGCATTTGTGAAATTTCTTCACTTTCTTTTTAACTTTGAGCAGTGTAAATGAAAAAGGATTAGGTGATTAAAACAAGCCTCTGTGGCTGAGCGCAGTGGCTCACACCTGTAATTTCAGCACTTTGGGAGGTTGAGGCTAGTGGATGTCTTGATACCAGGAGTTCGAGACCAGCCTGGCCAACATGGTGAAACCCTGTCTCTACTAAAAATACAAAGATTAGCCAGGTGTGGTGGTGCACGTCCGCAGTCCCAGCTACTTGGGAGGTTGAGGCATGAGAATCGCTTGAACCCAGGAGGCAGAAGTTGCAGTGAGCCAAGATCAGGCCATTGCCCTCCAGCCTGGGCAACACAGCGAGATTCTGTCTCTTCTTAAAAAAAGAAAAAAAGCTTCTGAGAATATAAATTCTATTTAAATTAAAAAATTGCTTTTATTAAAACTGTTAATGAATCTGAAAATATCACAAATGATTTAAGACAATTTCCTTAATGTATGGCATATTTTACAAGGGCTATAGAAATAACCACAAAAATATTAAAGAGGGTATTTGGTAAGTAAAAACATTCATATATTTTTCAAGTGTTAACATCTTAGTGTCTGGTTTCTATACTAGTGTTTAAGATTGGAGGTGGTAGAGCATAGTGGTCAGATCAAATACTCTGGGACATGATGGAACTGGTTCAAGTACAGTTATGAACTGCATCATGACATTTTGATCAATGAAAAACCGCTTATATGATGATGGCCCCATAAGATTATATGGGAGCTGAAAAATTCCTATTAGCTAGTGACAATGCAACCATTGTTCACAATGCACTACTCACATGTTTGTAGTAATGGTGTAAACAAACCTACTGCACTATCAGTCATATAAAAAAGTATACCACATACAATTATGTACAGTACATAGTACCTTATAATGATAATAAATGACTATGTTACTGGTTTAAGTACATACTATACTATACTATACTATACTATACTATACTATTTTTACCACTATTTTAGAGTGTATTCCTTCTACTTAAAAAAAAAGTTAACTGTAAAACAACCTCAGGCATGTCCTTCAGGAGGCATTCCAGAAGAAGGCAGAGATGAAAGCTCCACGTGTCTTATTGCCCCTAGAAACCTGCCACTGGGACAAGAAGTGGAGGCAGAAGACAGTGATATTGATGATCTTGACCTTGTATAGGCCTAGGTTAATGCATATGTTTGTGTAACAATTAGCATAGAGTTTAACAGCTAAAAAAATTAAAAATAGAAAAAAGCTTTTAGAATAAGGATATAAGAAAATGTTTTTTACATCTGTACAGTGTGGTTAAGTGTTATTTAAAAAATCAAATGTTTAAAAGTTAAAGTTTGTAAAGTAAAAAAAGTTACAGAAAGCTATGATTAAGTTATTATTAAAGAAAAAGTATTGTTTATTAATTTAGTGCAGCCTAGATGTACAGTGTTTATACATTCCACAGTAATGTACAGAAATGTGCTAGGCTTTCACATTAACTCACCATTCACTTACTTACCCCCAGAGCAAGTTTCGGTCTTTAAAAGGTTATCTCATGGTAAGTGTTCTATGCCGGTATTCCATTTTTCATCTTTTATATTATATTTTTACTGTGCTCTTTCTATGTTTGTATATTTGAGATGAAAAAATACTTACTATTGTGCTATAGTTGCCTACATTGTATTCAGTACAGTAACATGCTGTACAGGTTTGTAAACTGGAAGCAATAGGCTATACCATAAACCACATAGCCTAGTTAAGTGGTAGGCTAGGTCATGTAGCTTTGGGTTAGTACAGTCTATAATGATGCACAACAACAAATCCCTTAATGATGCATTTCTCAGATGTATCTCTGTTGTTGAGTGACACAAGACTGCATAATATTGTCATTCAAATAATAATTTTCGTGATTTACAACAGCATATTTTACGCTATAATCACATGTGGTATATTAAAATACTTATTTCACAAATAGGGATACATCATTTCTTCACATAAAATTATCCAGTAAGCATGGCAGGGTGCGGTGGCTCACACCTGTAATCCCAGCACTTTGGGAGCTAAGCTAATTCGACATTGAATGTTTGACTCAATTAATGTGAACTGAATCATTACTAGAAAAGAGAAAAGATTAGGATAATTTGAGTTAAGTGCAACCTGAATGCTTTTCAGTCTACGGTGCCAAGAAATTGTTCTTTTCCAGAACAAGTCAACAAGAGTGCATCTGAAGGGAGGTAGCAGGCAATTTTTGAGCTATTCATACCATGATCCCTTCTTATCAGTACAATATTATGACTGAAGATTTAAAGAGTGATAATATATTTGAATTGAACAGAGAAAGTAATATCACCTTGGACCAACTGTCTTAAAAGAAACACAGACTGAATCGGGAGTGAGGAGATCTAAAACTAATCCTAACTGGTGGTTAGAAAATGATGCCTGGATGCAAGAAATGTAATAAGCAAAATAATTAAGTGCATTCATCTTATCAATCAATTGTTCATCTCCTACTGATTGTAAGCCTGTGTGTACTTGTGTTGAGATTTAAATTCCACCATTGTGTGATGTTGAAAATACAGGTAGCTTGCTTTTATTATTGTAAATTCAATAGCTATCACGTTTGACTAAATATTAAGAAATAAAAGGTGGAATTATGTCCAGTTTCTTAATGGGATTGATAGTGTAAAGAATGCTATGAAACCCTTAGGCTTGAAATTCTTTGAGGAATATTTCTGATGTGTAATGAGTACTCCAGGGAGAAGCTTCAGGACATAATCAAAAATTTTAAAAGTATTTTGACTCAGGTCTAAGGGTTTCCTGCCTATTGACGTAATTATAATACCCATATAAATCAAAGAATGTAGGTTTTATGTCTGTGAATATAACAACCAGCACTAGCCCTATTGGTGAATTGTACATAGTTCTGGTTACATTTCAGATATAAATAATAACCAGCACACTTCACTTTAATGAGAGGTTAGGTAGTAATTATAGTAAAATATCTAAGATCGGAAAACAGATTTTAATTTTACTTTAATCCAACATATTTCCTTTAGAAGTTGGTATGCCTAAATTTCCACTACATGTTTGTACTCTCATTAGAGAAAAATTAAATTTTTTACAAAATTATATGATGAACCATATTCTCATCCTTACTTCCTTTTCAGATTAGATACACAACACTCTGAAGACATGAATGCCACCAGATCTGAAGAGCAGTTCCATGTTATAAACCACGCAGAGCAAACTCTTCGTAAAATGGAGAACTACTTGAAAGAGAAACAACTATGTGATGTGCTACTGATTGCAGGACACCTCCGCATCCCAGCCCATAGGTAAGTATTTTTA